>NC_000011.10:53531806-53831806 GCF_000001405.40 Homo sapiens
CACCAAGCCTGAAGAGGAAGGAAGCTGGGAACCCCTGTCGGGTACCCAAATGGAAGGGCTGGCTACTGGCCCTGAACGGGTCCTGGAGAAGGGGTGAATGAAGGAACTGGGGGACTGCCCACTCTCTCCATAGACCTCTGGTATCCTGGTTCCAGAGATTAGGTGGAGATAAGGCTTCAGCAGGTATGGAGTGATCTTTGTGCATAGGACAGCTTCTATGGAACCCAGCCATAAGTGCCATCCCCCAGGGCTCCCCATCTTCCTCTGAGCGACTTTGGCACCAGCTAATAGATGAACTGGAAGAAACAGGGCTGGCTTCCCTGCAGGGTTGGGGTACATCTGTCCTATAGGCCTACTTACCTGCCAGCCTCTCCCAGGCTCCTGCTTGGCCACTCTGCAAGAACATGTACACAATGCAGCCCCCACTACCCGGTACTGATGCTTTGCTCCATCTGAGTGCAACCTAGCAGACCAGGAGCCTTTCAGATCCTCCAGCACATCCAGAACTCAACCCTAAGTATCTGGAGCAGGGAGCTGAGAGCAGGTCCTGGTGCCTAAGAGCTCTGGCTCGTGATTCAGGAATACTAAGTTGGGATTCTGTAGAATCTGCAAGTGGATATTTGGACCTCTGTGAGGATTTCGTTGGAAACGGGATAAACTTCCCAGAACTACACGGAAGAGTATTCTGAGAAACTTCTTTGTGATGTTTGCATTCAACTCACAGAGTTGAACCTTGCTTTCATAGTTCAGCTTTCAAACACTCTTTTTGTAGAATCTGCAAGTGGATATTTGGACCACTTTGTGGCCTTCCTTCGAAACGGGTATATCTTCACATCAAACCTAGACAGAAGCATTCTCAGAATGTTTCCTGTGATGACTGCATTCAACTCACAGAGGTGAACAATCCTGTTGATGGAGCACTTTTGAAACTCTCTTTCTTTGGATTCTGCAAGTTGATATGTGGACCTCTGTGAAGATTTCGTTGGAAACGGGTTCATCTTCACAGAAAAACTAAACAGAAGCATTCTCAGAAACTGCTTTGTGATGTTTGTGTTCCACTTCAGGAATTGAACTTTCCTCTTGACAGAGCAGCTCTGAAACCCTCTTATTCTAGAATCTGCAAGTGGGCATTTGGAGGGCTTTGAGGCCTGTGGTGGAAAAGGAAAATCTTCACATAAAAACTAGATGGAAGCATTCTCAGAAACTACTTTGTGATGATTGCATTCGACTCACAGAGTTGAACATTCCTATAGATAGAGCAGGTTGTAAACAATCTTTTTGTAGAATCTGCGATTGGAGATTTGGACTGCTTTGAGGCCTACTGTAGTAAAGGAAATAACTTCATCTAAAAACCAAACGGAAGCATTCACAGACAATTCTTAGTGATCATTGGATTGAACTAACAGAGCTGAACATTCCTTTAGATGGAGCAGTTTCCAAACCCACCTTCTGTAGAATCTGCAAGTGGATATTTGGACTTCTCTGAGGATTTCGTTGGAAACGGGATAAACTTCCCAGAACTACACGGAAGCATTCTGTGAAACTTCTTTGTGATGTTTGCATTCAACTCACAGAGTTGAACCTTGCTTTCGTGGTTCAGCTTTCAAACACTCTTTTTGTAGAATCTGCAAGTGGATATTTGGACCACTTTGTGGTCTTCCTTCGAAACGGGTATATCTTCACATCAAACCTAGACAGAAGCATTCTCAGAATGTTTCCTGTGATGACTGCATTCAACTCACAGAGGTGAACAATCCTGCTGATGGAGCAGTTTTGAAACTCTCTTTCTTTGGATTCTGCAAGTGGATATGTGGACCTCTGTGAAGATTTCGTTGGAAACGTGTTCATCTTCACAGAAAAACTAAACAGGAGCATTCTCAGAAACTACTTTGTGATGTTTGTGTTCCACTTCAAGAATTGAACTTTCCTCTTGACAGAGCAGCTCTGAAACCCTCTTTTTCTAGAATCTGCAAGTGGACATTTGGAGGGCTTTGAGGCCTGTGGTGGAAAAGGAAAATCTTCACATAAAAACTAGATGGAAGCATTCTCAGAAACTACTTTGTGATGATTGCATTCGACTCACAGAGTTGAACATTCCTATAGATAGAGCAGGTTGTAAACAATCTTTTTGTAGAATCTGCGATTGGAGATTTGGACTGCTTTGAGGCCTACTGTAGTAAAGGAAATAACTTCATCTAAAAACCAAACGGAAGCATTCACAGACAATTCTTAGTGATCATTGGATTGAACTAACAGAGCTGAACATTCCTTTAGATGGAGCAGTTTCCAAACCCACTTTCTGTAGAATCTGCAAGTGGATATTTGGACTTCTCTGAGGATTTCGTTGGAAACGGGATAAACTTCCCAGAACTACACGGGAAGCATTGTGAGAAACTTCTTTGTGATGTTTGCATTCAACTCACAGAGTTGAACCTTGCTTTCATAGTTCAGCTTTCAAACACTCTTTTTGTAGAATCTGCAAGTGGATATTTGGACCACTTTGTGGCCTTCCTTTGAAAAGGGTATATCTTCACATCAAACCTAGACAGAAGCATTCTCAGAATGTTTCCTGTGATGACTGCATTCAACTCACAGAGGTGAACAATCCTGCTGATGGAGCAGTTTTGAAACTCTCTTTCTTTGGATTCTGCAAGTGGATATGTGGACCTCTGTGAAGATTTCGTTGGAAACGGGTTCATCTTCACAGAAAAACTAAACAGAAACATTCTCAGAAACTGCTTTGTGAAGTTTGTGTTCCACTTCAGGAATTGAACTTTCCTCTTGACAGAGCAGCTCTGAAACCCTCTTATTCTAGAATCTGCAAGTGGACATTTGGAGGGCTTTGAGGCCTGTGGTGGAAAAGGAAAATCTTCACATAAAAACTAGATGGAAGCATTCTCAGAAACTACTTTGTGATGATTGCATTCGACTCACAGAGTTGAACATTCCTATAGATAGAGCAGGTTGTAAACAATCTTTTTGTAGAATCTGCGATTGGAGATTTGGACTGCTTTGAGGCCTACTGTAGTAAAGGAAATAACTTCATCTAAAAACCAAACGGAAGCATTCACAGACAATTCTTAGTGATCTATTGGATTGAACTAACAGAGCTGAACATTCCTTTAGATGGAGCAGTTTCCAAACACACTTTCTGTTGAATCTGTAAGTGGATATTTGGACTTCTCTGAGGATTTCGTTGGAAACGGGATAAACTTCCCAGAACTACACGGAAGCATTGTGAGAAACTTCTTTGTGATGTTTGCATTCAACTCACAGAGTTGAACCTTGCTTTCATAGTTCAGCTTTCAAACACTCTTTTTGTAGAATCTGCAAGTGGATATTTGGACCACTTTGTGGCCTTCCTTCGAAACGGGTATATCTTCACATCAAACCTAGACAGAAGCATTCTCAGAATGTTTCCTGTGATGACTGCATTCAACTCACAGAGGTGAACAATCCTTCTGATGGAGCAGTTTTGAAACTCTCTTTCTTTGGATTCTGCATGTGGATATGTGGACCTCTGTGAAGATTTCGTTGGAAACGGGTTCATCTTCACAGAAAAACTAAACAGGAGCATTCTCAGAAACTACTTTGTGATGTTTGTGTTCCACTTCAAGAATTGAACTTTCCTCTTGACAGAGCAGCTCTGAAACCCTCTTTTTCTA
The DNA here is from genome assembly GCF_000001405.40 of Homo sapiens. Taxonomy (NCBI): domain Eukaryota; kingdom Metazoa; phylum Chordata; class Mammalia; order Primates; family Hominidae; genus Homo; species Homo sapiens. The sequence goes on from NC_000011.10 coordinate 53,535,472, forward strand.
GAATCTGCAAGTGGACATTTGGAGGGCTTTGAGGCCTGTGGTGGAAAAGGAAAATCTTCACATAAAAACTAGATGGAAGCATTCTCAGAAACTACTTTGTGATGATTGCATTTGACTCACAGAGTTGAACATTCCTATAGATAGAGCAGGTTGTAAACAATCTTTTTGTAGAATCTGCGATTGGAGATTTAGACTGCTTTGAGGCCTACTGTAGTAAAGGAAATAACTTCATCTAAAAACCAAACGGAAGCATTCACAGACAATTCTTAGTGATCATTGCATTGAACTAACAGAGCTGAACATTCCTTTAGATGGCGCAGTTTCCAAACACACTTTCTGTAGAATCTGCAAGTGGATATTTGGACTTCTCTGAGGATTTCGTTGGAAACGGGATAAACTTCCCAGAACTACACGGAAGCATTGTGAGAAACTTCTTTGTGATGTTTGCATTCAACTCACAGAGTTGAACCTTGCTTTCATAGTTCAGCTTTCAAACACTCTTTTTGTAGAATCTGCAAGTGGATATTTGGACCACTTTGTGGCCTTCCTTCGAAACGGGTATATCTTCACATCAAACCTAGACAGAAGCATTCTCAGAATGTTTCCTGTGATGACTGCATTCAACTCACAGAGGTGAACAATCCTGTTGATGGAGCAGTTTTGAAACTCTCTTTCTTTGGATTCTGCAGGTTGATATCTGGACCTCTGTGAAGATTTCGTTGGAAACGGGTTCATCTTCACAGAAAAACTAAACAGAAGCATTCTCAGAAACTGCTTTGTGATGTTTGTGTTCCACTTCAAGAATTGAACTTTCCTCTTGACAGAGCAGCTCTGAAACCCTCTTTTTCTAGAATCTGCAAGTGGACATTTGGAGGGCTTTGAGGCCTGTGGTGGAAAAGGAAAATCTTCACATAAAAACTAGATGGAAGCATTCTCAGAAACTACTTTGTGATGATTGCATTCGACTCACAGAGTTGAACATTCCTACAGATAGAGCAGGTTGTAAACAAACTTTTTGTAGAATCTGCGATTGGAGATTTGGACTGCTTTGAGGCCTACTGTAGTAAAGGAAATAACTTCATCTAAAAACCAAACGGAAGCATTCACAGACAATTCTTAGTGATCATTGCATTGAACTAACAGAGCTGAACATTCCTTTAGATGGCGCAGTTTCCAAACACACTTTCTGTAGAATCTGCAAGTGGATATTTGGACTTCTCTGAGGATTTCGTTGGAAACGGGATAAACTTCCCAGAACTACACGGAAGCATTCTGAGAAACTTCTTTGTGATGTTTGCATTCAACTCACAGAGTTGAACCTTGCTTTCATAGTTCAGCTTTCAAACACTCTTTTTGTAGAATCTGCAAGTGGATATTTGGACCACTTTGTGGCCTTCCTTCGAAAGGGGTATATCTTCACATCAAACCTAGACAGACGCATTCTCAGAATGCTTCCTGTGATGACTGCATTCAACTCACAGAGGTGAACAATCCTGTTGATGGAGCAGTTTTGAAACTCTCTTTCTTTGGATTCTGCAAGTGGATATGTGGACCTCTGTGAAGATTTCGTTGGAAACGGGTTCATCTTCACAAAAAAACTAAACAGAAACATTCTCAGAAACTGCTTTGTGATGTTTGTGTTCCACTTCAAGAATTGAACTTTCCTCTTGACAGAGCAGCTCTGAAACCCTCTTTTTCTAGAATCTGCAAGTGGACATTTGGAGGGCTTTGAGGCCTGTGGTGGAAAAGGAAAATCTTCACATAAAAACTAGATGGAAGCATTCTCAGAAACTACTTTGTGATGATTGCATTCGACTCACAGAGTTGAACATTCCTATAGGTAGAGCAGGTTGTAAACAATCTTTTTGTAGAATCTGCGATTGGAGATTTGGACTGCTTTGAGGCCTACTGTAGTAAAGGAAATAACTTCATCTAAAAACCAAACGGAAGCATTCACACAAAATTCTTAGTGATCATTGGATTGAACTAACAGAGCTGAAAATTCCTTTAGATGGAGCAGTTTCCAAACCCACTTTCTGTAGAATCTGCAAGTGGATATTTGGACTTCTCTGAGGATTTCGTTGGAAAAGGGATATGCCTCCCAGAAATACAGGGAAGCATTGTGAGAAACTTCTTTGTGATGTTTGCATTCAACTCACAGAGTTGAACCTTGCTTTCATAGTTCAGCTTTCAAACACTCTTTTTGTAGAATCTGCAAGTGGATATTTGGACCACTTTGTGGCCTTCCTTCGAAACGGGTATATCTTCACATCAAACCTAGACAGAAGCATTCTCAGAATGTTTCCTGTGATGACTGCATTCAACTCACAGAGGTGAACAATCCTGTTGATGGAGCACTTTTGAAACTCTCTTTCTTTGGATTCTGCAAGTGGATATGTGGACCTCTGTGAAGATTTCGTTGGAAACGGGTTCATCTTCACAGAAAAACTAAACAGAAGCATTCTCAGAAACTACTTTGTGATGTTTGTGTTCCACTTCAAGAATTGAACTTTCCTCTTGACAGAGCAGCTCTGAAACCCTCTTTTTCTAGAATCTGCAAGTGGACATTTGGAGGGCTTTGAGGCCTGTGGTGGAAAAGGAAAATCTTCACATAAAAACTAGATGGAAGCATTCTCAGAAACTCCTTTGTGATGATTGCATTCGACTCACAGAGTTGAACATTCCTATAGATAGAGCAGGTTGTAAACAATCTTTTTGTAGAATCTGCGATTGGAGATTTGGACTGCTTTGAGGCCTACTGTAGTAAAGGAAATAACTTCATCTAAAAACCAAACGGAAGCATTCACAGACAATTCTTGGTGATCATTGGATTGAGCTAACAGAGCTGAACATTCCTTTAGATGGAGCAGTTTCCAAACACACTTTCTGCAGAATCTGCAAGTGGATATTTGGACTTCTCTGAGGATTTCGTTGGAAACGGGATAAACTTCCCAGAACTACACGGAAGCATTGTGAGAAACTTCTTTGTGATGTTTGCATTCAACTCACAGAGTTGAACCTTGCTTTCATAGTTCAGCTTTCAAACACTCTTTTTGTAGAATCTGCAAGTGGATATTTGGACCACTTTGTGGCCTTCCTTTGAAAAGGGTATATCTTCACATCAAACCTAGACAGAAGCATTCTCAGAATGTTTCCTGTGATGACTGCATTCAACTCACAGAGGTGAACAATCCTGCTGATGGAGCAGTTTTGAAACTCTCTTTCTTTGGATTCTGCAAGTGGATATGTGGACCTCTGTGAAGATTTCGTTGGAAACGGGTTCATCTTCACAGGAAAACTAAACAGGAGCATTCTCAGAAAGTGCTTTGTGATGTTTGTGTTCCACTTCAAGAATTGAACTTTCCTCTTGACAGAGCAGCTCTGAAACCCTCTTATTCTAGAATCTGCAAGTGGACATTTGGAGGGCTTTGAGGCCTGTGGTGGAAAAGGAAAATCTTCACATAAAAACTAGATGGAAGCATTCTCAGAAACTACTTTGTGATGATTGCATTCGACTCACAGAGTTGAACATTCCTATAGATAGAGCAGGTTGTAAACAATGTTTTTGTAGAATCTGCGATTGGAGATTTGGACTGCTTTGAGGCCTACTGTAGTAAAGGAAATAACTTCATCTAAAAACCAAACGGAAGCATTCACAGACAATTCTTAGTGATCATTGGATTGAACTAACAGAGCTGAACATTCCTTTAGATGGCGCACTTTCCAAACACACTTTCTGTAGAATCTGCAAGTGGATATTTGGACCTCTCTGAGGATTTCGTTGGAAACGGGATAAACTTCCCAGAACTACACGGAAGCATTGTGAGAAACTTCTTTGTGATGTTTGCATTCAACTCACAGAGTTGAAACTTGCTTTCATAGTTCAGCTTTCAAACACTCTTTTTGTAGAATCTGCAAGTGGATATTTGGACCACTTTGTGGCCTTCCTTCGAAACGGGTATATCTTCACATCAAACCTAGACAGAAGCATTCTCAGAATGTTTCCTGTGATGACTGCATTCAACTCACAGAGGTGAAGAATCCTGTTGATGGAGCACTTTTGAAACTCTCTTTCTTTGGATTCTGCAAGTTGATATGTGGACCTCTATGAAGATTTCGTTGGAAACGTGTGCATCTTCACAGAAAAACTAAACAGAAGCATTCTCAGAAACTGCTTTGTGATGTTTGTGTTCCACTTCAGGAATTGAACTTTCCTCTTGACAGAGCAGCTCTGAAACCCTCTTATTCTAGAATCTGCAAGTGGACATTTGGAGGGCTTTGAGGCCTGTGGTGGAAAAGGAAAATCTTCACATAATAACTAGATGGAAGCATTCTCAGAAACTACTTTGTGATGATTGCATTCGACTCACAGAGTTGAACATTCCTATAGATAGAGCAGGTTGTAAACAATGTTTTTGTAGAATCTGCGATTGGAGATTTGGACTGCTTTGAGGCCTACTGTAGTAAAGGAAATAACTTCATCTAAAAACCAAACGGAAGCATTCACAGACAATTCTTAGTGATCATTGCATTGAACTAACAGAGCTGAACATTCCTTTAGATGGCGCAGTTTCCAAACACACTTTCTGTAGAATCTGCAAGTGGATATTTGGACCTCTCTGAGGATTTCGTTGGAAACGGGATAAACTTCCCAGAACTACACGGAAGCATTCTGAGAAACTTCTTTGTGATGTTTGCATTCAACTCACAGAGTTGAACCTTGCTTTCTTAGTTCAGCTTTCAAACACTCTTTTTGTAGAATCTGCAAGTGGATATTTGGACCACTTTGTGGCCTTCCTTCGAAACGGGTATATCTTCACATCAAACCTAGACAGAAGCATTCTCAGAATGTTTCCTGTGATGACTGCATTCAACTCACAGAGGTGAACAATCCTGCTCATGGAGCAGTTTTGAAACTCTCTTTCTTTGGATTCTGCAAGTGGATATGTGGACCTCTGTGAAGATTTCGTTGGAAACGGGTTCATCTTCACAGAAAAACTAAACAGAAGCATTCTCAGAAACTGCTTTGTGATGTTTGTGTTCCACTTCAAGAATTGAACTTTCCTCTTGACAGAGCAGCTCTGAAACCCTCTTTTTCTAGAATCTGCAAGTGGACATTTGGAGGGCTTTGAGGCCTGTGGTGGAAAAGGAAAATCTTCACATAAAAACTAGATGGAAGCATTCTCAGAAACTACTTTGTGATGATTGCATTCGACTCACAGAGTTGAACATTCATATAGATAGAGCAGGATGTAAACAATCTTTTTGTAGAATCTGCGATTGGAGATTTCGACTTCTTTGAGGCCTACTGTAGTAAAGGAAATAACTTCATCTAAAAACCAAACGGAAGCATTCACAGACAATTCTTAGTGATCATTGCATTGAACTAACAGAGCTGAACATTCCTTTAGATGGCGCAGTTTCCAAACACACTTTCTGTAGAATCTGCAAGTGGATATTTGGACCTCTCTGAGGATTTCGTTGGAAACGGGATAAACTTCCCAGAACTACACGGAAGCATTCTGAGAAACTTCTTTGTGATGTTTGCATTCAACTCACAGAGTTGAACCTTGCTTTCATAGTTCAGCTTTCAAACACTCTTTTTGTAGAATCTGCAAGTGGATATTTGGACCACTTTGTGGCCTTCCTTCGAAACGGGTATATCTTCACATCAAACCTTGACAGAAGCATTCTCAGAATGTTTCCTGTGATGACTGCATTCAACTCACAGAGGTGAACAATCCTGCTGATGGAGCAGTTTTGAAACTCTCTTTCTTTGGATTCTGCAAGTGGATATGTGGACCTCTGTGAAGATTTCGTTGGAAACGGGTTCATCTTCACAGAAAAACTAAACAGGAGCATTCTCAGAAACTGCTTTGTGATGTTTGTGTTCCACTTCAGGAATTGAACTTTCCTCTTGACAGAGCAGCTCTGAAACCCTCTTATTCTAGAATCTGCAAGTGGACATTTGGAGGGCTTTGAGGCCTGTGGTGGAAAAGGAAAATCTTCACATAAAAAACTAGATGGAAGCATTCTCAGAAACTACTTTGTGATGATTGCATTCGACTCACAGAGTTGAACATTCCTATAGATAGAGCAGGTTGTAAACAATCTTTTTGTAGAATCTGCGATTGGAGATTTGGACTGCTTTGAGGCCTACTGTAGTAAAGGAAATAACTTCATCTAAAAACCAAACGGAAGCATTCACAGACAATTCTTAGTGATCATTGCATTGAACTAACAGAGCTGAACATTCCTTTAGATGGAGCAGTTTCCAAACCCACTTTCTGTAGAATCTGCCAGTGGATATTTGGACTTCTCTGAGGATTTCGTTGGAAACGGGATAAACTTCCCAGAACTACACGGAAGCATTCTGAGAAACTTCTTTGTGATGTTTGCATTCAACTCACAGAGTTGAACCTTGCTTTCATAGTTCAGCTTTCAAACACTCTTTTTGTAGAATCTGCAAGTGGATATTTGGACCACTTTGTGGCCTTCCTTCGAAACGGGTATATCTTCACATCAAACCTAGACAGAAGCATTCTCAGAATGTTTCCTGTGATGACTGCATTCAACTCACAGAGGTGAACAATCCTGTTGATGGAGCACTTTTGAAACTCTCTTTCTTTGGATTCTGCAAGTTGATATGTGGACCTCTGTGAAGATTTCGTTGGAAACGGGTTCATCTTCACAGAAAAACTAAACAGAAGCATTCTCAGAAACTGCTTTGTTATGTTTGTGTTCCACTTCAGGAATTGAACTTTCCTCTTGACAGAGCAGCTCTGAAATCCTCTTATTCTAGAATCTGCAAGTGGACATTTGGAGGGCTTTGAGGCCTGTGGTGGAAAAGGAAAATCTTCACATAAAAACTAGATGGAAGCATTCTCAGAAACTACTTTGTGATGATTGCATTCGACTCACAGAGTTGAACATTCCTATAGATAGAGCAGGTTGTAAACAATCTTTTTGTAGAATCTGCGATTGGAGATTTGGACTGCTTTGAGGCCTACTGTAGTAAAGGAAATAACTTCATCTAAAAACCAAACGGAAGCATTCACAGACAATTCTTAGTGATCATTACATTGAACTAACAGAGCTGAACATTCGTTTAGATGGCGCAGTTTCCAAACACACTTTCTGTAGAATCTGCAAGTGGATATTTGGACCTCTCTGAGGATTTCGTTGGAAACGGGATAAACTTCCCAGAACTACACGGAAGCATTCTGAGAAACTTCTTTGTGATGTTTGCATTCAACTCACAGAGTTGAACCTTGCTTTCATAGTTCAGCTTTCAAACACTCTTTTTGTAGAATCTGCAAGTGGATATTTGGACCACTTTGTGGCCTTCCTTCGAAACGGGTATATCTTCACATCAAACCTAGACAGAAGCATTCTCAGAATGTTTCCTGTGATGACTGCATTCAACTCACAGAGGTGAACAATCCTGCTGATGGAGCAGTTTTGAAACTCTGTTTCTTTGGATTCTGCAAGTGGATATGTGGACCTCTGTGAAGATTTCGTTGGAAACGGGTTCATCTTCACAGAAAAACTAAACAGGAGCATTCTCAGAAACTGCTTTGTGATGTTTGTGTTCCACTTCAGGAATTGAACTTTCCTCTTGACAGAGCAGCTCTGAAACCCTCTTATTCTAGAATCTGCAAGTGGACATTTGGAGGGCTTTGAGGCCTGTGGTGGAAAAGGAAAATCTTCACATAAAAACTAGATGGAAGCATTCTCAGAAACTACTTTGTGATGATTGCAACGACTCACAGAGTTGAACATTCCTATAGATAGAGCAGGTTGTAAACAATCTTTTTGTAGAATCTGCGATTGGAGATTTGGACTGCTTTGAGGCCTACTGTAGTAAAGGAAATAACTTCATCTAAAAACCAAACGGAAGCATTCACAGACAATTCTTAGTCATCATTGCATTGAACTAACAGAGCTGAACATTCCTTTAGATGGAGCAGTTTCCAAACCCACTTTCTGTAGAATCTGCAAGTGGATATTTGGACTTCTCTGAGGATTTCGTTGGAAAAGGGATATGCTTCCCAGAACTACAGGGAAGCATTCTGAGAAACTTCTTTGTGATGTTTGCATTCAACTCACAGAGTTGAACCTTGCTTTCATAGTTCAGCTTTCAAACACTCTTTTTGTAGAATCTGCAAGTGGATATTTGGACCACTTTGTGGCCTTCCTTCGAAACGGGTATATCTTCACATCAAACCTAGACAGAAGCATTCTCAGAATGTTTCCTGTGATGACTGCATTCAACTCACAGAGGTGAACAATCCTGCTGATGGAGCAGTTTTGAAACTCTCTTTCTTTGGATTCTGCAAGTGGATATGTGGACCTCTGTGAAGATTTCGTTGGAAACGGGTTCATCTTCACAGAAAAACTAAACAGAAGCATTCTCAGAAACTGCTTTGTGATGTTTGTGTTCCACTTCAAGAATTGAACTTTCCTCTTGACAGAGCAGCAATGAAACCCTCTTTTTCTAGAATCTGCAAGTGGACATTTGGAGGTCTTTGAGGCCTGTGGTGGAAAAGGAAAATCTTCACATAAAAACTAGATGGAAGCATTCTCAGAAACTACTTTCTGATGATTGCATTCGACTCACAGAGTTGAACATTCCTATAGGTAGAGCAGGTTGTAAACAATCTTTTTGTAGAATCTGCGATTGGAGATTTGGACTGCTTTGAGGCCTACTGTAGTAAAGGAAATTACTTCATCTAAAAACCAAACGGAAGTATTCACAGACAATTCTTAGTGATCATTGGATTGAACTAACAGAGCTGAACATTCCTTTAGATGGAGCAGTTTCCAAACACACTTTCTGTAGAATCTGCAAGTGGATATTTGGACTTCTCTGAGGATTTCGTTGGAAACGGGATAAACTTCCCAGAACTACACGGAAGCATTCTGAGAAACTTCTTTGTGATGTTTGCATTCAACTCACAGAGTTGAACCTTGCTTTCATAGTTCAGCTTTCAAACCCTCTTTTTGTAGAATCTGCAAGTGGATATTTGGACCACTTTGTGGCCTTCCTTCGAAACGGGTATATCTTCACATCAAACCTAGACAGAAGCATTCTCAGAATGTTTCCTGTGATGACTGCATTCAACTCACAGAGGTGAACAATCCTGCTGATGGAGCAGTTTTGAAACTCTCTTTCTTTGGATTCTGCAAGTGGATATGTGGACCTCTGTGAAGATTTCGTTGGAAACGGGTTCATCTTCACAGAAAAACTAAACAGAAGCATTCTCAGAAACTGCTTTGTGATGTTTGTGTTCCACTTCAAGAATTGAACTTTCCTCTTGACAGAGCAGCTCTGAAACCCTCTTTTTCTAGAATCTGCAAGTGGACAGTTGGAGGGCTTTGAGGCCTGTGGTGGAAAAGGAAAATCTTCACATAAAAACTAGATGGAAGCATTCTCAGAAACTACTTTGTGATGATTGCATTCGACTCACAGAGTTGAACACTCCTATAGATAGAGCAGGTTGTAAACAATCTTTTTGTAGAATCTGCGATTGGAGATTTGGACTGCTTTGAGGCCTACTGTAGTAAAGGAAATAACTTCATCTAAAAACCAAACGGAAGCATTCACAGAAAATTCTTAGTGATCATTGGATTGAACTAACAGAGCTGAACATTCCTTTAGATGGAGCAGTTTCCAAACCCACTTTCTGTAGAATCTGCAAGTGGATATTTGGACTTCTCTGAGGATTTCGTTGGAAACGGGATATGCTTCCCAGAACTACACGGAAGCATGCTGAGAAACTTCTTTGTGATGTTTGCATTCCACTCACAGAGTTGAACCTTGCTTTCATAGTTCAGCTTTCAAACACTCTTTTTGTAGAATCTGCAAGTGGATATTTGGACCACTTTGTGGCCTTCCTTCGAAACGGGTATATCTTCACATCAAACCTAGACAGAAGCATTCTCAGAATGTTTCCTGTGATGACTGCATTCAACTCACAGAGGTGAACAATCCTGTTGATGAAGCACTTTTGAAACTCTCTTTCTTTGGATTCTGCAAGTTGATATGTGGACCTCTGTGAAGATTTCGTTGGAAACGGGTTCATCTTCACAGAAAAACTAAACAGAAGCATTCTCGGAAACTGCTTTGTGATGTTTGTGTTCCACTTCAGGAATTGAACTTTCCTCTTGACAGAGCAGCTCTGAAACCCTCTTATTCTAGAATCTGCAAGTGGACATTTGGAGGGCTTTGAGGCCTGTGGTGGAAAAGGAAAATCTTCACATAAAAACTAGATGGAAGCATTCTCAGAAACTACTTTGTGATGATTGCATTCGACTCACAGAGTTGAACATTCCTATAGATAGAGCAGGTTGTAAACAATCTTTTTGTAGAATCTGCGATTGGAGATTTGGACTGCTTTGAGGCCTACTGTAGTAAAGGAAATAACTTCATCTAAAAACCAAACGGAAGCATTCACAGACAATTCTTAGTGATCATTGGATTGAACTAACAGAGCTGAACATTCCTTTAGATGGCGTAGTTTCCAAACACACTTTCTGTAGAATCTGCAAGTGGATATTTGGACCTCTCTGAGGATTTCGTTGGAAACGGGATAAACTTCCCAGAACTACACGGAAGCATTCTGAGAAACTTCTTTGTGATGTTTGCATTCAACTCACAGAGTTGAACCTTGCTTTCATAGTTCAGCTTTCAAACACTCTTTTTGTAGAATCTGCAAGTGGATATTTGGACAACTTTGTGGCCTTCCTTCGAAACGGGTATATCTTCACATCAAACCTAGACAGAATCATTCTCGGAATGTTTCCTGTGATGACTGCATTCAACTCACAGAGGTGAACAATCCTGCTGATGGAGCAGTTTTGAAACTCTCTTTCTTTGGATTCTGCAAGTGGATATGTGGACCTCTGTGAAGATTTCGTTGGAAACGGGTTCATCTTCACAGAAAAACTAAACAGGAGCATTCTCAGAAACTGCTTTGTGATGTTTGTGTTCCACTTCAGGAATTGAACTTTCCTCTTGACAGAACAGCTCTGGAACCCTCTTATTCTAGAATCTGCAAGTGGACATTTGGAGGGCTTTGAGGCCTGTGGTGGAAAAGGAAAATCTTCACATAAAAACTAGATGGAAGCATTCTCAGAAACTACTTTGTGATGATTGCATTCGACTCACAGAGTTGAACATTCCTATAGATAGAGCAGGTTGTAAACAGTCTTTTTGTAGAATCTGCGATTGGTGATTTGGACTGCTTTGAGGCCTACTGTAGTAAAGGAAATAACTTCATCTAAAAACCAAACGGAAGCATTCACAGACAATTCTTAGTGATCATTGCATTGAACTAACAGAGCTGAACATTCCTTTAGATGGAGCAGTTTCCAAACACACTTTCTGTAGAATCTGCAAGTGGATATTTGGACTTCTCTGAGGATTTCGTTGGAAACGGGATAAACTTCCCAGAACTACACGGAAGCATTCTGAGAAACTTCTTTGTGATGTTTGCATTCAACTCACAGAGTTGAACCTTGCTTTCATAGTTCAGCTTTCAAACACTCTTTTTGTAGAATCTGCAAGTGGATATTTGGACCACTTTCTGGCCTTCCTTCGAAACGGGTATATCTTCACATCAAACCTAGACAGAAGCATTCTCAGAATGTTTCCTGTGATGACTGCATTCAACTCACAGAGCTGAACAATCCTGTTGATGGAGCACTTTTGAAACTCTCTTTCTTTGGATTCTGCAAGTTGATATGTGGACCTCGGTGAAGATTTCGTTGGAAACGGGTTCATCTTCACAGAAAAACTAAACAGGAGCATTCTCAGAAACTGCTTTGTGATGTTTGTGTTCCACTTCAAGAATTGAACTTTCCTCTTGACAGAGCAGCTCTGAAACCCTCTTTTTCTAGAATCTGCAAGTGGAAATTTGGAGGGCTTTGAGGCCTGTGGTGGAAAAGGAAAATCTTCACATAAAAACTAGATGGAAGCATTCTCAGAAACTACTTTGTGTTGATTGCATTCGACTCACAGAGTTGAACATTCCTATAGATAGAGCAGGTTGTAAACAATCTTTTTGTAGAATCTGCGATTGGAGATTTGGACTGCTTTGAGGCCTACTGTAGTAAAGGATATAACTTCATCTAAAAACCAAACGGAAGCATTCACACAAAATTCTTAGTGATCATTGGATTGAACTAACAGAGCTGAAAATTCCTTTAGATGGAGCAGTTTCCAAACCCACTTTCTGTAGAATCTGCAAGTGGATATTTGGACTTCTCTGAGGATTTCGTTGTAAAAGGGATATGCCTCCCAGAAATACAGGGAAGCATTGTGAGAAACTTCTTTGTGATGTTTGCATTCAACTCACAGAGTTGAACCTTGCTTTCATAGTTCAGCTTTCAAACACTCTTTTTGTAGAATCTGCAAGTGGATATTTGGACCACTTTGTGGCCTTCCTTTGAAAAGGGTATATCTTCACATCAAACCTAGACAGAAGCATTCTCAGAATGTTTCCTGTGATGACTGCATTCAACTCACAAAGGTGAACAATCCTGCTGATGGAGCAGTTTTGTAACTCTCTTTCTTTGGATTCTGCAAGTGGATATGTGGACCTCTGTGAAGATTTCGTTGGAAACGGGTTCATCTTCACAGAAAAACTAAACAGAAGCATTCTCAGAAACTGCTTTGTTATGTTTGTGTTCCACTTCAAGAATTGAACTTTCCTCTTGACAGAGCAGCTCTGAAACCCTCTTTTTCTAGAATCTGCAAGTGGACATATGGAGGGTTTGAGGCCTGTGGTGGAAAAGGAAAATCTTCACATAAAAACTAGATGGAAGCATTCTCAGAAACTACTTTGTGATGATTGCATTCGACTCACAGAGTTGAACATTCCTATAGATAGATCAGGTTGTAAACAATCTTTTTGTAGAATCTGCGATTGGAGATTTGGACTGCTTTGAGGCCTACTGTAGTAAAGGAAATAACTTCATCTAAAAACCAAACGGAAGCATTCACAGACAATTCTTAGTGATCATTGGATTGAACTAACAGAGCTGAACATTCCTTTAGATGGAGCAGTTTCCAAACACACTTTCTGTAGAATCTGAAAGTGGATATTTGGACTTCTCTGAGGATTTCGTTCGAAACGGGATAAACTTCCCAGAACTACACGGAAGCATTGTGAGAAACTTCTTTGTGATGTTTGCATTCAACTCACAGAGTTGAACCTTGCTTTCATAGTTCAGCTTTCAAACACTCTTTTTGTAGAATCTGCAAGTGGATATTTGGACCACTTTGTGGCCTTCCTTCGAAACGGGTATATCTTCACATCAAACCTAGACAGAAGCATTCTCAGAATGTTTCGTGTGATGACTGCATTCAACTCACAGAGGTGAACAATCCTGCTGATGGAGCAGTTTTGAAACTCTCTTTCTTTGGATTCTGCATGTGGATATGTGGACCTCTGTGAAGATTTCGTTGGAAACGGGTTCATCTTCACAGAAAAACTAAACAGAAGCATTCACAGAAACTGCTTTGTGATGTTTGTGTTCCACTTCAAGAATTGAACTTTCCTCTTGACAGAGCAGCTCTGAAACCCTCTTTTTCTAGAATCTGCAAGTGGACATTTGGAGGGCTTTGAGGCCTGTGGTGGAAAAGGAAAATCTTCACATAAAAACTAGATGGAAGCATTCTCAGAAACTACTTTGTGATGATATCATTCGACTCACAGAGTTGAACATTCCTATAGATAGAGCAGGTTGTAAACAATCTTTTTGTAGAATCTGCGATTGGAGATTTGGACTGCTTTGAGGCCTACTGTAGTAAAGGAAATAACTTCATCTAAAAACCAAACGGAAGCATTCACAGACAATTCTTAGTGATCATTGCATTGAGCTAACAGAGCTGAACATTCCTTTAGATGGCGCAGTTTCCAAACACACTTTCTGTAGAATCTGCAAGTGGATATTTGGACCTCTCTGAGGATATCGTTGGAAACGGGATAAACTTCCCAGAACTACACGGAAGCATTGTGAGAAACTTCTTTGTGATGTTTGCATTCAACTCACAGAGTTGAACCTTGCTTTCATAGTTCAGCTTTCAAACACTCTTTTTGTAGAATCTGCAAGTGGATATTTGTACCACTTTGTGGCCTTCCTTCGAAACGGGTATATCTTCACATCAAACCTAGACAGAAGCATTCTCAGAATGTTTCCTGTGATGACTGCATTCAACTCACAGAGGTGAACAATCCTGCTGATGGAGCAGTTTTGAAACTCTCTTTCTTTGGATTCTGCAAGTGGATATGTGGACCTCTGTGAAGATTTCGTTGGAAACGGGTTCATCTTCACAGAAAAACTAAACAGGAGCATTCTCAGAAACTGCATTATCATGTTTGTGTTCCACTTCAAGAGTTGAACATTCCTCTTGACAGAGCAGCTCTGAAACCCTCTTTTTCTAGAATCTGCAAGTGGACATTTGGAGGGCTTTGAGGCCTGTGGTGGAAAAGGAAAATCTTCACATAAAAACTAAATGGAAGCATTCTCAGAAACTACTTTGTGATGATTGCATTCGACTCACAGAGTTGAACATTCCTATAGATAGAGCAGGTTGTAAACAATCTTTTTGTAGAATCTGCGATTGGAGATTTGGACTGCTTTGAGGCCTACTGTAGTAAAGGAAATAACTTCATCTAAAAACCAAACGGAAGCATTCACAGACAATCCTTAGTGATCATTGCATTGAACTAACAGAGCTGAACATTCCTTTAGATGGCGCAGTTTCCAAACACACTTTCTGTAGAATCTGCAAGTGGATATTTGGACCTCTCTGAGGATTTCGTTGGAAACGGGATAAACTTCCCAGAACTACACGGAAGCATTCTGAGAAACTTCTTTGTGATGTTTGCATTCAACTCACAGAGTTGAACCTTGCTTTCATAGTTCAGCTTTCAAACCCTCTTTTTGTAGAATCTGCAAGTGGATATTTGGACCACTTTGTGGCCTTCCTCCGAAACGGGTATATCTTCACATCAAACCTAGACAGAAGCATTCTCAGAATGTTTCCTGTGATGACTGCATTCAACTCACAGAGGTGAACAATCCTGCTGATGGAGCAGTTTTGAAACTCTCTTTCTTTGGATTCTGCAAGTGGATATGTGGACCTCTGTGAAGATTTCGTTGGAAACGGGTTCATCTTCACAGAAAAACTAAACAGAAGCATTCTCAGAAACTGCTTTGTGATGTTTGTGTTCCACTTCAGGAATTGAACTTTCCTCTTGAAAGAGCAGCTCTGAAACCCTCTTTTTCTAGAATCTGCAAGTGGACATTTGGAGGGCTTTGAGGCCTGTGGTGGAAAAGGAAAATCTTCACATAAAAACTAGATGGAAGCATTCTCAGAAACTACTTTGTGATGATTGCATTCGACTCACAGAGTTGAACATTCCTATAGATAGAGCAGGTTGTAAACAATCTTTTTGTAGAATCTGCGATTGGAGATTTGGACTGCTTTGAGGCCTACTGTAGTAAAGGAAATAACTTCATCTAAAAACCAAACGGAAGCATTCACAGACAATTCTTAGTGATCATTGGATTGAACTAACAGAGCTGAACATTCCTTTAGATGGAGCAGTTTCCAAACACACTTTCTGTAGATTCTGCAAGTGGATATTTGGACCTCTCTGAGGATTTCGTTGGAAAAGGGATAAACTTCCCAGAACTACACGGAAGCATTCTGAGAAACTTCTTTGTGATGTTTGCATTCAACTCACAGAGTTGAACCTTGCTTTCATAGTTCAGCTTTCAAAAACTCTTTTTGTAGAATCTGCAAGTGGATATTTGGACCACTTTGTGGCCTTCCTTCGAAACGGGTATATCTTCACATCAAACCTAGACAGAAGCATTCTCAGAATGTTTCCTGTGATGAGTGCATTCAACTCACAGAGGTGAACAATCCTGTTGATGGAGCAGTTTTGAAACTCTCCTTCTTTGGATTCTGCAAGTCGATATGTGGACCTCTGTGAAGATTTCGTTGGAAACGGGTTCATCTTCACAGAAAAACTAAACAGAAGCATTCTCAGAAACTGCTTTGTGATGTTTGTGTTCCACTTCAAGAATTGAACATTCCTCTTGACAGAGCAGCTCTGAAACCCTCTTTTTCTAGAATCTGCAAGTGGACATTTGGAGGGCTTTGAGGCCTGTGGTGGAAAAGGAAAATGTTCACATAAAAACTAGATGGAAGCATTCTCAGAAACTACTTTGTGATGATTGCATTTGACTCACAGAGTTGAACATTCCTATAGATAGAGCAGGTTGTAAACAATCTTTTTGTAGAATCTGCGATTGGAGATTTGGACTGCTTTGAGGCCTACTGTAGTAAAGGAAATAACTTCATCTAAAAACCAAACGGAAGCATTCACAGACAATTCTTAGTGATCATTGGATTGAACTAACAGAGCTGAACATTCCTTTAGATGGAGCAGTTGCCAAACCCACTTTCTGTAGAATCTGCAAGTGGATATTTGGACTTCTCTGAGGATTTCGTTGGAAACGGGATAAACTTCCCAGAACTACACGGAAGCATTGTGAGAAACTTCTTTGTGATATTTGCATTCAACTCACAGAGTTGAACCTTGCTTTCATAGTTCAGCTTTCAAACACTCTTTTTGTAGAATCTGCAAGTGGATATTTGGACCACTTTGTGGCCTTCCTTCGAAACGGGTATATCTTCACATCAAACCTAGACAGAAGCATTCTCAGAATGTTTCCTGTGATGACTGCATTCAACTCACAGAGGTGAACAATCCTGCTGATGGAGCAGTTTTGAAACTCTCTTTCTTTGGATTCTGCAAGTGGATATGTGGACCTCTGTGAAGATTTCGTTGGAAACGGGTTCATCTTCACAGAAAAACTAAACAGAAGCATTCTCAGAAACTGCTTTGTGATGTTTGTGTTCCACTTCAAGAATTGAACTTTCCTCTTGACAGAGCAGCTCTGAAACCCTCTTTTTCTAGAATCTGCAAGTGGACATTTGGAGGGCTTTGAGGCCTGTGGTGGAAAAGGAATATCTTCACATAAAAACTAGATGGAGAGCATTCTCAGAACTACTTTGTGATGATTGCATTCGACTCACAGAGTTGAACATTCCTATAGATAGAGCAGGTTGTAAACAATCTTTTTGTAGAATCTGCGATTGGAGATTTGGACTGCTTTGAGGCCTACTGTAGTAAAGGAAATAACTTCATCTAAAAACCAAACGGAGCATTCACAGACAATGCTTAGCGATCATTGGATTGAACTAACAGAGCTGAACATTCCTTTAGATGGAGCAGTTTCCAAACACACTTTCTGTAGAATCTGCAAGTGGATATTTGGACTTCTCTGAGGATTTCGTTGGAAACGGGATATACTTCCCAGAACTACACGGAAGTATTCTGAGAAACTTCTTTGTCATGTTTGCATTCAACTCACAGAGTTGAACCTTGCTTTCATAGTTCAGCTTTCAAACACTCTTTTTGTAGAATCTGCAAGTGGATATTTGGACCACTTTGGGGCCTTCCTTCGAAACGGGTATATCTTCACATCAAACCTTGACAGAAGCATTCTCAGAATGTTTCCTGTGATGACTGCATTCAACTCACAGAGGTGAACAATCCTGCTGATGGAGCAGTTTTGAAACTCTCTTTCTTTGGATTCTGCAAGTGGATATGTGGACCTCTGTGAAGATTTCGTTGGAAACGGGTTCATCTTCACAGAAAAACTAAACAGAAGCATTCTCAGAAACTACTTTGTGATGTTTGTGTTCCACTTCAAGAATTGAACTTTCCTCTTGACAGAGCAGCTCTGAAACCCTCTTTTTCTAGAATCTGCAAGTGGACATTTGGAGGGCTTTGAGGCCTGTGGTGGAAAAGGAAAATCTTCACATAAAAACTAGATGGAAGCATTCTCAGAAACTACTTTGTGATGATTGTATTCGACTCACAGAGTTGAACATTCCTATAGATAGAGCAGGTTGTAAACAATCTTTTTGTAGAATCTGCGATTGGAGATTTGGACTGCTTTGAGGTCTACTGTAGTAAAGGAAATAACTTCATCTAAAAACCAAACGGAAGCATTCACAGACAATTCTTAGTGATCATTGCATTGATCTAACAGAGCTGAACATTCCTTTAGATGGCGTAGTTTCCAAACACACTTTCTGTAGAATCTGCAAGTGGATATTTGGACCTCTCTGAGGATTTCGTTGGAAACGGGATAAACTTCCCAGAACTACACGGAAGCATTCTGAGAAACTTCTTTGTGATGTTTGCATTCAACACACCGAGTTGAACCTTGCTTTCATAGTTCAGCTTTCAAACACTCTTTTTGTAGAATCTGCAAGTGGATATTTGGACCACTTTGTGGCCTTCCTTCGAAACGGGTATATCTTCACATCAAACCTAGAGAGAAGCATTCTCAGAATGTTTCCTGTGATGACTGCATTCAACTCACAGAGGTGAACAGTCCTGCTGATGGAGCAGTTTTGAAGCTCTCTTTCTTTGGATTCTGCAAGTGGATATGTGGACCTCTGTGAAGATTTCGTTGGAAACGGGTTCATCTTCACAGAAAAACTAAACAGGAGCATTCTCAGAAACTGCTTTGTGATGTTTGTGTTCCACTTAAAGAATTGAACTTTCCTCTTGACAGAGCAGCTCTGAAACCCTCTTTTTCTAGAATCTGCAAGTGGACATTTGGAGGGCTTTGAGGCCTGTGGTGGAAAAGGAAAATCTTCACATAAAAACTTTATGGAAGCATTCTCAGAAACTACTTTGTGATGATTGCATTCGACTCACAGAGTTGAACATTCCTATAGATAGAGCAGGTTGTAAACAATCTTTTTGTAGAATCTGCGATTGGAGATTTGGACTGCTTTGAGGCCTACTGTAGTAAAGGAAATAACTTCATCTGAAAACCAAACGGAAGCATTCACAGACAATTCTTAGTGATCATTGCATTGAACTAACAGAGCTGAACATTCCTTTAGATGGCGCAGTTTCCAAACACACTTTCTGTAGAATCTGCAAGTGGATATTTGGACCTCTCTGAGGATTTCGTTGGAAACGGGATAAACTTCCCAGAACTACACGGAAGTATTCTGAGAAACTTCTTTGTGATGTTTGCATTCAACTCACAGAGTTGAACCTTGCTTTCATAGTTCAGCTTTCAAACACTCTTTTTGTAGAATCAATCTGCAAGTGGATATTTGGACCACTTTGTGGCCTTCCTTCGAAACGGGTATATCTTCACATCAAACATAGACAGAAGCATTCTCAGAATGTTTCCTGTGATGACTGCATTCAACTCACAGAGGTGAACAATCCTGCTGATGGAGCAGTTTTGAAACTCTCTTTCTTTGGATTCTGCAAGTGGATATGTGGACCTCTGTGAAGATTTCGTTGGAAACGGGTTCATCTTCACAGAAAAACTAAACAGGAGCATTCTCAGAAACTGCTTTGTGATGTTTGTGTTCCACTTCAGGAATTGAACTTTCCTCTTGACAGAGCAGCTCTGAAACCCTCTTTTTCTAGAATCTGCAAGTGGACATTTGGAAGGCTTTGAGGCCTGTGGTGGAAAAGGAAAATCTTCACATAAAAACTAGATGGAAGCATTCTCAGAAACTACTTTGTGATGATTGCATTCGACTCACAGAGTTGAACATTCCTATAGATAGAGCAGGTTGTAAACAATGTTTTTGTAGAATCTGCGATTGGAGATTTGGACTGCTTTGAGGCCTACTGTAGTAAAGGAAATAACTTCATCTAAAAACCAAACGGAAGCATTCACAGACAATTCTTACTGATCATTGGATTGAATTAACAGAGCTGAACATTCCTTTAGATGGAGCAGTTTCCAAACCCACTTTCTGTAGAATCTGCAAGTGGATATTTGGACTTATCTGAGGATTTCGTTGGAAACGGGATAAACTTCCCAGAACTACACGGAAGCATTTTGAGAAACTTCTTTGTGATGTTTGCATTCAACTCACAGAGTTGAACCTTGCTTTCATAGTTCAGCTTTCAAACACTCTTTTTGTGGAATCTGCAAGTGGATATTTGGACCACTTTGTGGCCTTCCTTCGAAACGGGTATATCTTCACATCAAACCTAGACAGAAGCATTCCCAGAATGTTTCCTGTGATGACTGCATTCAACTCACAGAGGCGAACAATCCTGTTGATGGAGCAGTTTTGAAACTCTCTTTCTTTGGATTCTGCAAGTGGATATGTGGACCTCTGTGAAGATTTCGTTGGAAACGGGTTCATCTTCACAGAAAAACTATACAGGAGCATTCTCCGAAACTGCTTTGTGATGTTTGTGTTCCACTTCAAGAATTGAACTTTCCTCTTGACCGAGCAGCTCTGAAACCCTCTTATTCTAGAATCTGCAAGTGGACATTTGGAGGGCTTTGAGGCCTGTGGTGGAAAAGGAAAATCTTCACATAAAAACTAGATGGAAGCATTCTCAGAAACTACTTTGTGATGATTGCATTCGACTCACAGAGTTGAACATTCCTATAGATAGAGCAGGTTGTAAACAATCTTTTTGTAGAATCTGCGATTGGAGATTTGGACTGCTTTGAGGCCTACTGTAGTAAAGGAAATAACTTCATCTAAAAACCAAACGGAAGCATTCACAGACAATTCTTAGTGATCATTGGATTGAACTAACAGAGCTGAACATTCCTTTAGATGGAGCAGTTTCCAAACCCACTTTCTGTAGAATCTGCAAGTGGATATTTGGACTTCTCTGAGGATTTCGTTGGAAACGGGATAAACTTCCCAGAACTACACGGAAGCATTCTGAGAAACTTCTTTGTGATGTTTGCATTCAACTCACAGAGTTGAACCTTGCTTTCATAGTTCAGCTTTCAAACACTCTTTTTGTAGAATCTGCAAGTGGATATTTGGACCACTTTGTGGCCTTCCTTCGAAACGGGTATATCTTCACATCAAACCTAGACAGAAGCATTCTCAGAATGTTTCCTGTGATGACTGCATTCAACTCACAGAGGTGAACAATCCTGCTGATGGAGCAGTTTTGAAACTCTCTTTCTTTGGATTCTGCAAGTGGATATGTGAACCTCTTTGAAGATTTCGTTGGAAACGGGTTCATCTTCACAGAAAAACTAAACAGGAGCATTCTCAGAAACTGCTTTGTGATGTTTGTGTTCCACTTCAAGAATTGATCTTTCCTCTTGACAGAGCAGCTCTGAAACCCTCTTTTTCTAGAATCTGCAAGTGGACATTTGGAGGGCTTTGAGGCCTGTGGTGGAAAAGGAAAATCTTCACATAAAAACTAGATGGAAGCATTCTCAGAAACTACTTTGTGATGATTGCATTCGACTCACAGAGTTGAACATTCCTATACATAGAGCAGGTTGTAAACAATCTTTTTGTAGAATCTGCGATTGGAGATTTGGACTGCTTTGAGGCCTACTGTAGTAAAGGAAATAACTTCATCTAAAAACCAAACGGAAGCATTCACAGACAATTCTTAGTGATTATTGGATTGAACTAACAGAGCTGAACATTCCTTTAGATGGAGCAGTTTCCAAACCCACTTTCTGTAGAATCTGCAAGGGGATATTTGGACTTCTCTGAGGATTTCGTTGGAAACGGGATAAACTTCCCAGAACTACACGGAAGCATTGTGAGAAACTTCTTTGTGATGTTTGCATTCAACTCACAGAGTTGAACCTTGCTTTCATAGTTCAGCTTTCAAACACTCTTTTTGTAGAATCTGCAAGTGGATATTTGGACCACTTTGTGGCCTTCCTTTGAAACGGGTATATCTTCACATCAAACCTAGACAGAAGCATTCTCAGAATGTTTCCTGTGATGACTGCATTCAACTCACAGAGGTGAACAATCCTGCTGATGGAGCAGTTTTGAAACTCTCTTTCTTTGGATTCTGCAAGTGGATATGTGGACCTCTGTGAAGATTTCGTTGGAAACGGGTTCATCTTCACAGAAAAACTAAACAGGAGCATTATCAGAAACTGCTTTGTGATGTTTGTGTTCCACTTCAGGAATTGTACTTTCCTCTTGACAGAGCAGCTCTGAAACCCTCTTATTCTAGAATCTGCAAGTGGACATTTGGAGGGCTTTGAGGCCTGTGGTGGAAAAGGAAAATCTTCACATAAACACTAGATGGAAGCATTCTCAGAAACTACTTTGTGATGATTGCATTCGACTCACAGAGTTGAACATTCCTATAGATAGAGCAGGTTGTAAACAATGTTTTTGTAGAATCTGCGATTGGAGATTTGGACTGCTTTGAGGCCTACTGTAGTAAAGGAAATAACTTCATCTAAAAACCAAACGGAAGCATTCACAGATAATTCTTAGTGATATTGGATTGAACTAACAGAGCTGAACATTCCTTTAGATGGAGCAGTTTCCAAACACACTTTCTGTAGAATCTGCAAGTGGATATTTGGACTTCTCTGAGGATTTCGTTGGAAACGGGATAAACTTATCAGAACTACACGGAAGCATTCTGAGAAACTTCTTTGTGATGTTTGCATTCAACTCACAGAGTTGAACCTTGCTTTCATAGTTCAGCTTTCAAACACTCTTTTTGTAGAATCTGCAAGTGGATATTTGGACCACTTTGTGGCCTTCCTTCGAAACGGGTATATCTTCACCTCAAACCTAGACAGAAGCATTCTCAGAATGTTTCCTGTGATGACTGCATTCAACTCACAGAGGTGAACAATCCTGCTGATGGAGCAGTTTTGAAACTCTCTTTCTTTGGATTCTGCAAGTGGATAGGTGGACCTCTGTGAAGATTTCGTTGGAAACGGGTTCATCTTCACAGAAAAACTAAACAGAAGCATTCTCAGAAACTGCTTTGTGATGTTTGTGTTCCACTTCAGGAATTGAACTTTCCTCTTGACAGAGCAGCTCTGAAATCCTCTTATTCTAGAATCTGCAAGTGGACATTTGGAGGGCTTTGAGGCCTGTGGTGGAAAAGGAAAATCTTCACATAAAAACTAGATGGAAGCATTCTCAGAAACTACTTTGTGATGATTGCATTCGACTCACAGAGTTGAACATTCCTATACATAGAGCAGGTTGTAAACAATCTTTTTGTAGAATCTGCGATTGGAGATTTGGACTGCTTTGAGGCCTACTGTAGTAAAGGAAATAACTTCATCTAAAAACCAAACGGAAGCATTCACAGACAATTCTTAGTGATCATTGGATTGAACTAACAGAGCTGAACATTCCTTTAGATGGAGCAGTTTCCAAACACACTTTCTGTAGAATCTGCAAGTGGATATTTGGACTTCTCTGAGGATTTCGTTGGAAACGGGATAAACTTCCCAGAACTACACGGAAGCATTCTGAGAAACTTCTTTGTGATGTTTGCATTCAACTCACAGAGTTGAACCTTGCTTTCATAGTTCAGCTTTCAAACACTCTTTTTGTAGAATCTGCAAGTGGATATTTGGACCACTTTCTGGCCTTCCTTCGAAACGGGTATATCTTCACATCAAACCTAGACAGAAGCATTCTCAGAATGTTTCCTGTGATGACTGCATTCAACTCACAGAGGTGAACAATCCTGCTGATGGAGCAGTTTTGAAACTCTCTTTCTTTGGATTCTGCAAGTGGATATGTGGACCTCTGTGAAGATTTCGTTGGAAACGGGTTCATCTTCACAGAAAAACTAAACAGGAGCATTCTCAGAAACTGCTTTGTGATGTTTGTGTTCCACTTCAAGAATTGAACTTTCCTCTTGATAGAGCAGCTCTGAAACCCTCTTTTTCTAGAATATGCAAGTGGACATTTGGAGGGCTTTGAGGCCTGTGGTTGAAAAGGAAAATCTTCACATAAAAACTACATGGAAGCATTCTCAGAAACTACTTTGTGATGATTGCATTCGACTCACAGAGTTGAACATTCCTATAGATAGAGCAGGTTGTAAACAATGTTTTTGTACAATCTGCGATTGGAGATTTGGACTGCTTTGAGGCCTACTGTAGTAAAGGAAATAACTTCATCTAAATACCAAACGGAAGCATTCACAGACAATTCTTAGTGATCATTGGATTGAACTAACAGAGCTGAACATTCCTTTAGATGGAGCAGTTTCCAAACCCACTTTCTGTAGAATCTGCAAGTGGATATTTGGACCTCTCTGAGGATTTCGTTGGAAACGGGATAAACTTCCCAGAACTACAGGGAAGTATTCTGAGAAACTTCTTTGTGATGTTTGCATTCAACTCACAGAGTTGAACTTTGCTTTCATAGTTCAGCTTTCAAACACTCTTTTTGTAGAATCTGCAAGTGGATATTTGGACCACTTTGTGGCCTTCCTTCGAAACGGGTATATCTTCACATCAAACCTTGACAGAAGCATTCTCAGAATGTTTCCTGTGATGACTGCATTCAACTCACAGAGGTGAACAATCCTGTTGATGGAGCAGTTTTGAAACTCTCTTTCTTTGGATTCTGCAAGTGGATATGTGGACCTCTGTGAAGATTTCGTTGGAAACGGTTTCATCTTCACAGAAAAACTAAACAGAAGCATTCTCAGAAACTCCTTTGTCATGTTTGTGTTCCACTTCAGGAATTGAACTTTCCTCTTGACAGAGCAGCTCTGAAACCCTCTTATTCTAGAATCTGCAAGTTGACATTTGGAGGGCTTTGAGGCCTGTGGTGGAAAAGGAAAATCTTCACATAAAAACTAGATGGAAGCATTCTCAGAAACTACTTTGTGATGATTGCATTCGACTCACAGAGTTGAACATTCCTATACATAGAGCAGGTTGTAAACAATCTTTTTGTAGAATCTGCGATTGGAGATTTGGACTGCTTTGAGGCCTACTGTAGTAAAGGAAATAACTTCATCTAAAAACCAAACGGAAGCATTCACAGACAATTCTTAGTGATCATTGGATTGAACTAACAGAGCTGAACATTCCTTTAGATGGAGCAGTTTCCAAACACACTTTCTGTAGAATCTGCAAGTGGATATTTGGACTTCTCTGAGGATTTCGTTGGAAACGGGATAAACTTCCCAGAACTACACGGAAGCATTCTGAGAAACTTCTTTGTGATGTTTGCATTCAACTCACAGAGTTGAACCTTGCTTTCATAGTTCAGCTTTCAAACACTCTTTTTGTAGAATCTGCAAGTGGATATTTTGACCACTTTGTGGCCTTCCTTCGAAACGGGTATATCTTCACATCAAACCTAGACAGAAGCATTCTCAGAATGTTTCCTGTGATGACTGCATTCAACTCACAGAGGTGAACAATCCTGCTGATGGAGCAGTTTTGAAACTCTCTTTCTTTGGATTCTGCAGGTGGATATGTGGACCTCTGTGAAGATTTCGTTGGAAACGGGTTCATCTTCACAGAAAAACTAAACAGGAGCATTCTCAGAAACTGCTTTGTGATGTTTGTGTTCCACTTCAAGAATTGAACTTTCCACTTGACAGAGCAGCTCTGAAACCCTCTTTTTCTAGAATCTGCAAGTGGACATTTGGAGGGCTTTGAGGCCTGTGGTGGAAAAGGAAAATCTTCACATAAAAACTAGATGGAAGCATTCTCAGAAACTACTTTGTGATGATTGCATTCGACTCACAGTAGTTGAACATTCCTATAGATACAGCAGGTTGTAAACAATCTTTTTGTAGAATCTGCGATTGGAGATTTGGACTGCTTTGAGGCCTACTGTAGTAAAGTAAATAACTTCATCTAAAAACCAAACGGAAGCATTCACAGACAATTCTTAGTGATTATTGGATTGAACTAACAGAGCTGAACATTCCTTTAGATGGAGCAGTTTCCAAACCCACTTTCTGTAGAATCTGCAAGTGGATATTTGGACTTCTTTGAGGATTTCGTTGGAAACGGGATAAACTTCCCAGAACTACACGGAAGCATTCTGAGAAACTTCTTTGTGATGTTTGCATTCAACTCACAGAGTTGAACCTTGCTTTCATAGTTCAGCTTTCAAATACTCTTTTTGTAGAATCTGCAAGTGGATATTTGGACCACTTTGTGGCCTTCTTTCGAAACGGGTATATCTTCACATCAAACCTAGACAGAAGCATTCTCAGAATGTTTCATGTGATGACTGCATTCAACTCACAGAGGTGAACAATCCTGTTGATGGAGCAGTTTTGAATCTCTCTTTCTTTGGATTCTGCAAGTGGATATGTGGACCTCTGTGAAGATTTCGTTGGAAACGGGTTCATTTTCACAGAAAAACTAAACAGAAGCATTCTCAGAAACTACTTTGTGATGTTTGTGTTCCACTTCAAGAATTGAACTTTCCTCTTGACAGAGCAGCTCTGAAACCCTCTTTTTCTAGAATCTGCAAGTGGACATTTGGAGGGCTTTGAGGCCTGTGGTGGAAAAGGAAAATCTTCACATAAAAACTAGATGGAAGCATTCTCAGAAACTACTTTGTGATGATTGCATTCGACTCACAGAGTTGAACATTCCTATACATAGAGCAGGTTGTAAACAATCTTTTTGTAGAATCTGCGATTGGAGATTTGGACTGCTTTGAGGCCTACTGTAGTAAAGGAAATAACTTCATCTAAAAACCAAACGGAAGCATTCACAGACAATTCTTAGTGATCATTGGATTGAACTAACAGAGCTGAACACTCCTTTAGATGGCGCTGTTTCCAAACACACTTTCTGTAGAATCTGCAAGTGGATATTTGGACTTCTCTGAGGATTTCGTTGGAAACGGGATAAACTTCCCAGAACTACACGGAAGCATTCTGAGAAACTTCTTTGTGATGTTTGCATTCAACTCACAGAGTTGAACCTTGCTTTCATAGTTCAGCTTTCAAACACTCTTTTTGTAGAATCTGCAAGTGGATATTTGGACCACTTTGTGGCCTTCCTTCGAAACGGGTATATCTTCACATCAAACCTAGACAGAAGCATTCTCAGAATGTTTCCTGTGATGACTGCATTCAACTCACAGAGGTGAACAATCCTGTTGATGGAGCAGTTTTGAAACTCTCTTTCTTTGGATTCTGCAAGTGGATATGTGGACCTCTGTGAAGATTTCGTTGGAAACGGGTTCATCTTCACAGAAAAACTAAACAGGAGCATTCTCAGAAACTACTTTGTGATGTTTGTGTTCCACTTCAAGAATTGAACTTTCCTCTTGACAGAGCAGCTCTGAAACCCTCTTTTTCTAGAATCTGCAAGTGGACATTTGGAGGGCTTTGAGGCCTGTGGTGGAAAAGGAAAATCTTCACATAAAAACCAGATGGAAGCATTCTCAGAAACTACTTTGTGATGATTGCATTCGACTCACAGAGTTGAATATTCCTATAGATAGAGCAGGTTGTAAACAATCTTTTTGTAGAATGTGCGATTGGAGATTTGGACTGCTTTGAGGCCTACTGTAGTAAAGGAAATAACTTCATCTAAAAACCAAACGGAAGCATTCACAGACAATTCTTAGTGATCATTGCATTGAACTAACAGAGCTGAACATTCCTTTAGATGGAGCAGTTTCCAAACCCACTTTCTGTAGAATCTGCAAGTGGATATTTGGACTTCTCTGAGGATTTCGTTGGAAACGGGATAAACTTCCCAGAACTACAGGGAAGCATTCTGAGAAACTTCTTTGTGATGTTTGCATTCAACTCACAGAGTTGAACCTTGCTTTCATACTTCAGCTTTCAAACACTCTTTTTGTAAAATCTGCAAGTGGATATTTGGACCACTTTGTGGCCTTCCTTCGAAACGGGTATATCTTCACATCAAACCTAGACAGAAGCATTCTCAGAATGTTTCCTGTGATGACTGCATTCAACTCACAGAGGTGAACAATTCTGCTGATGGAGCAGTTTTGAAACTCTCTTTCTTTGGATTCTGCAAGTAGATATGTGGACCTCTGTGAAGATTTCGTTGGAAACGGGTTCATCTTCACAGAAAAACTAAAAAGAAGCATTCTCAGAAACTGCTTTGTGATGTTTGTGTTCCACTTCAGGAATTGAACTTTCCTCTTGACAGAGCAGCTCTGAAACCCTCTTATTCTAGAATCTGCAAGTGGACATTTGGAG
Source organism: Homo sapiens (assembly GCF_000001405.40). Classification (NCBI taxonomy): domain Eukaryota; kingdom Metazoa; phylum Chordata; class Mammalia; order Primates; family Hominidae; genus Homo; species Homo sapiens. Next base: position 53,563,548 of record NC_000011.10, read on the forward strand.
GGCTTTGAGGACTGTGGTGGAAAAGGAAAATCTTCACATAAAAACTAGATGGAAGCATTCTCAGAAACTTCTTTGTGATGATTGCATTCGACTCACAGAGTTCAACATTCCTATAGATAGAGCAGGTTGTAAACAATCTTTTTGTAGAATCTACGATTGGAGATTTGGACTGCTTTGAGGCCTACTGTAGTAAAGGAAATAACTTCATCTAAAAACCAAACGGAAGCATTCACAGACAATTCTTAGTGATCATTGGATTGAACTAACAGAGCTGAACATTCCTTTAGATGGAGCAGTTTCCAAACCCACTTTCTGTAGAATCTGCAAGTGGATATTTGGACTTCTCGGAGGATTTCGTTGGAAACGGGATATACTTCCCAGAACTACACGGAAGCATTGTGAGAAACTTCTTTGTGATGTTTGCATTCAACTCACAGAGTTGAACCTTGCTTTCATAGTTCAGCTTTCAAACACTCTTTTTGTAGAATCTGCAAGTGGATATTTGGACCACTTTGTGGCTTTCCTTTGAAACGGGTATATCTTCACATCAAACCTAGACAGAAGCATTCTCAGAATGTTTCCTGTGATGACTGCATTCAACTCACAGAGGTGAACAATCCTGCTGATGGAGCAGTTTTGAAACTCTCTTTCTTTGGATTCTGCAAGTTGATATGTGGACCTCTGTGAAGATTTCGTTGGAAACGGGTTCATCTTCACAGAAAAACTAAACAGAAGCATTCTCAGAAACTGCTTTGTGATGTTTGTGTTCCACTTCAGGAATTGAACTTTCCTCTTGACAGAGCAGCTCTAAAACCCTCTTATTCTAGAATCTGCAAGTGGACATTTGGAGGGCTTTGAGGCCTGTGGTGGAAAAGGAAAATCTTCACATAAAAACTAGATGGAAGCATTCTCAGAAACTACTTTGTGATGATTGCATTCGACTCACAGAGTTGAACATTCCTATAGATAGAGCAGGTTGTAAACAATCTTTTTGTAGAATCTGCGATTGGAGATTTGGACTGCTTTGAGGCCTACTGTAGTAAAGGAAATAACTTCATCTAAAAACCAAACGGAAGCATTCACAGACAATTCTTAGTGATCATTGCATTGAACTAACAGAGCTGAACATTCCTTTAGATGGAGCAGTTTCCAAACACACTTTCTGTAGAATCTGCAAGTGGATATTTGGAATTCTCTGAGGATTTCGTTGGAAACGGGATAAACTTCTCAGAACTACACGGAAGCATTCTGAGAAACTTCTTTGTGATGTTTGCATTCAACTCACAGAGTTGAACCTTGCTTTCATAGTTCAGCTTTCAAACACTCTTTTTGTAGAATCTGCAAGTGGATATTTGGACCACTTTGTGGCCTTCCTTCGAAACGGGTATATCTTCACATCAAACCTAGACAGAAGAATTCTCAGAATGTTTCCTGTGATGACTGCATTCAACTCACAGAGGTGAACAATCCTGTTGATGGAGCAGTTTTGAAACTCTCTTTCTTTGGATTCTGCAACTGGATATGTGGACCTCTGTGAAGATTTGGTTGGAAACGGGTTCATCTTCCCAGAAAAACTAAAAAGAAGCATTCTCAGAAACTGCTTTGTGATGTTTGTGTTCCACTTCAAGAATTGAACTTTCCTCTTGACAGAGCAGCTCTGAAACCCTCTTTTTCTAGAATCTGCAAGTGGACATTTGGAGGGCTTTGAGGCCTGTGGTGGAAAAGGAAAATCTTCACATAAAAACTAGATGGAAGCATTCTCAGAAACTACTTTGTGTTGATTGCATTCGACTCACAGAGTTGAACATTCCTATAGATAGAGCAGGTTGTAAACAATCTTTTTGTAGAATCTGCGATTGGAGATTTGGACTGCTTTGAGGCCTACTGTAGTAAAGGAAATAACTTCATCTAAAAACCAAACGGAAGCATTCACAGACAATTCTTAGTGATCATTGCATTGAACTAACAGAGCTGAACATTCCTTTAGATGGAGCATTTTCCAAACACACTTTCTGTAGAATCTGCAAGTGGATATTTGGACTTCTCTGAGGATTTCGTTGGAAACGGGATAAAATTCCCAGAACTACACGGAAGCATTGTGAGAAACTTCTTTGTGATGTTTGCATTCAACTCACAGAGTTGAACCTTGCTTTCATAGTTCAGCTTTCAAACACTCTTTTTGTAGAATCTGCAAGTGGATATTTGGACCACTTTGTGGCCTTCCTTCGAAACGGGTTATATCTTCACATCAAACCTAGACAGAAGCATTCTCAGAATGTTTCCTGTGATGACTGCATTCAACTCACAGAGGTGAACAATCCTGCTGATGGAGCAGTTTTGAAACTCTCTTTCTTTGGATTCTGCAAGTGGATATGTGGACCTCTGTGAAGATTTCGTTGGAAACGGGTTCATCTTCACAGAAAAACTAAACAGAAGCATTCTCAGAAACTGCTTTGTGATGTTTGTGTTCCACTTCAAGAATTGAACTTTCCTCTTGACAGAGCACCTCTGAAACCCTCTTTTTCTAGAATCTGCAAGTGGACATTAAGAGGGCTTTGAGGCCTGTGGTGGAAAAGGAAAATCTTCACATAAAAACTAGATGGAAGGATTCTCAGAAACTACTCTGTGATGATTGCATTCGACTCCCAGAGTTGAACATTCGTATAGATAGAGCAGGTTGTAAACAATCTTTTTGTAGAATCTGCGATTGGAGATTTGGACTGCTTTGAGGCCTACTGTAGTAAAGGAAATAACTTCATCTAAAAACCAAACGGAAGCATTCACAGACAATTCTTAGTGATCATTGGATTGTACTAACACAGCTGAACATTCCTTTAGATGGAGCAGTTTCCAAACACACTTTCTGTAGAATCTGCAAGTGGATATTTGGACCTCTCTGAGGATTTCGTTGGAAACGGGCTAAACTTCCCAGAACTACACGGAAGCATTCTGAGAAACTTCTTTGTGATGTTTGCATTCAACTCACAGAGTTGAACCTTGCTTTCATAGTTCAGCTTTCAAACACTCTTTTTGTAGAATCTGCAAGTGGATATTTGGACCACTTTGTGGCCTTCCTTCGAAACGGGTATATCTTCACATCAAACCTAGACAGAAGCATTCTCAGAATGTTTCCTGTGATGACTGCATTCAACTCACAGAGGTGAACAATCCTGTTGATGGAGCAGTTTTGAAACTCTCTTTCTTTGGATTCTGCAAGTGGATATGTGGACCTCTGTGAAGATTTCGTTGGAAACGGGTTCATCTTCACAGAAAAACTAAACAGAAGCATTCCCAGAAACTGCTTTGTGATGTTTCTGTTCCACTTCAAGAATTGAACTTTCCTCTTGACAGAGCAGCTCTGAAACCCTCTTTTTCTAGAATCTGCAAGTGGACATTTGGAGGGCTTTGAGGCCTGTGGTGGAAAAGGAAAATCTTCACATAAAAACTAGATGGAAGCATTCTCAGAAACTACTTTGTGATGACTGCATTCGACTCACAGAGTTGAACATTCCTATAGATAGAGCAGGTTGTAAACAATCTTTTTGTAGAATCTGCGATTGGAGATTTGGACTGCTTTGAGGCCTACTGTAGTAAAGGAAATAACTTCATCTAAAAACCAAACGGAGGTATTCAAAGACAATTCTTCGTGATCATTGGATTGAACTAACAGAGCTGAACATTAGTTTAGATGGCGCAGTTTCCAAACACAATTTCTGTAGAATCTGCAAGTGGATATTTGGACTTCTCTGAGGATTTCGTTGGAAACGGGATAAACTTCCCAGAACTACACGGAAGCATTGTGAGAAACTTCTTTGTGATGTTTGCATTCAACTCACAGAGTTGAACCTTGCTTTCATAGTTCAGCTTTCAAACACTCTTTTTGTAGAATCTGCAAGTGGATATTTGGACCACTTTGTGGCCTTCTTCGAAACGGGTATATCTTCACATCAAACCTAGACAGAAGCATTCTCAGAATGTTTCCTGTGATGACTGCATTCAACTCACAAAGGTGAACAATCCTGCTGATGGAGCAGTTTTGAAACTCTCTTTCTTTGGATTCTGCAAGTGGATATGTGGACCTCTGTGAAGATTTCGTTGGAAACGGGTTCATCTTCACAGAAAAACTAAACAGAAGCATTCTCAGAAACTGCTTTGTGATGTTTGTGTTCCACTTCAGGAATTGAACTTTCCTCTTGACAGAGCAGCTCTAAAACCCTCTTATTCTAGAATCTGCAAGTGGACATTTGGAGGGCTTTGAGGCCTGTGGTGGAAAAGGAAAATCTTCACATAAAAACTAGATGGAAGCATTCTCAGAAACTACTTTGTGATGATTGCATTCGACTCACAGAGTTGAACATTCCTATAGATAGAGCAGGTTGTAAACAATCTTTTGTAGAATCTGCGATTGGAGATTTGGACTGCTTTGAGGCCTACTGTAGTAAAGGAAATAACTTCATCTAAAAACCAAACGGAAGCATTCACAGACAATTCTTAGTGATCATTGCATTGAACTAACAGAGCTGAACATTCCTTTAGATGGCGCAGTTTCCAAACACACTTTCCGTAGAATCTGCAAGTGGATATTTGGACCTCTCTGAGGATTTCGATGGAAACGGGATAAACTTCCCAGAACTACACGGAAGCATTGTGAGAAACTTCTTTGTGATGTTTGCATTCAACTCACAGAGTTGAACCTTGCTTTCATAGTTCAGCTTTCAAACACTCTTTTTGTAGAATCTGCAAGTGGATATTTGGACCACTTTGTGGCCTTCCTTTGAAAAGGGTATATCTTCACATCAAACCTAGACAGAAGCATTCTCAGAATGTTTCCTGTGATGACTGCATTCAACTCACAGAGGTGAACAATCCTGTTGATGGAGCACTTTTGAAACTCTCTTTCTTTGGATTCTGCAACTTGATATGTGGACCTCTGTGAAGATTTCGTTGGAAACGGGTTCATCTTCACAGAAAAACTAAACAGAAGCATTCTCAGAAACTGCTTTGTGATGTTTGTGTTCCACTTCAAGAATTGAACTTTCCTCTTGACAGAGCAGCTCTGAAACCCTCTTTTTCTAGAATCTGCAAGTGGACATTTGGAGGGCTTTGAGGCCTGTGGTGGAAAAGGAAAATCTTCCCATAAAAACTAGATGGAAGCATTCTCAGAAACTACTTTGTGATGATTGCATTCGACTCACAGAGTTGAACATTCCTATAGATAGAGCAGGTTGTAAAAAATCTTTTTGTAGAAACTGCGATTGGAGATTTGGACTGCTTTGAGGCCTACTGTAGTAAAGGAAATAACTTCATCTAAAAACCAAACGGAAGCATTCACAGACAATTCTTAGTGATCATTGGATTGAACTAACAGAGCTGAACATTCCTTTAGATGGAGCAGTTTCCAAACACACTTTATGTAGAATCTGCAAGTGGATATTTGGACTTCTCTGAGGATTTCGCTGGAAACGGGATAAACATCCCAGAACTACACGGCAGAATTCTGGGAAACTTCTTTGTGATGTTTGCATTCAACTCACAGAGTTGAACCTTGCTTTCATAGTTCAGCTTTCAAACACTCTTTTTGTAGAATCTGCAAGTGGATATTTGGACCACTTTGTGGCCTTCCTTCGAAACGGGTATATCTTCACATCAAACCTAGACAGAAGCATTCTCAGAATGTTTCCTGTGATGACTGCATTCAACTCACAGAGGTGAACAATCCTGTTGATGGAGCAGTTTTGAAACTCTCTTTCTTTGGATTCTGCAAGTGGATATGTGGACCTCTGTGAAGATTTCGTTGGAAACGGTTTCATCTTCACAGAAAAACTAAACAGGAGCATTCTCAGAAACTGCTTTGTGATGTTTGTGTTCCACTTAAAGAATTGAACTTTCCTCTTGACAGAGCAGCTCTGAAACCCTCTTTTTCTAGAATCTGCAAGTGGACATTTGGAGGGCTTTGAGGCCTGTGGTGGAAAAGGAAAATCTTCACATAAAAACTTTATGGAAGCATTCTCAGAAACTACTTTGTGATGATTGCATTCGACTCACAGAGTTGAACATTCCTATAGATAGAGCAGGTTGTAAACAATCTTTTTGTAGAATCCGCGATTGGAGATTTGGACAGCTTTGAGGCCTACTGCAGTAAAGGAAATAACTTCTTCTAAAAACCAAACGGAAGCATTCACAGACAATTCTTAGTGATCATTGGATGGAACTAACAGAGCTGAACATTCCTTTAGATGGAGCAGTTTCCAAACACACTTTCTGTAGAATCTGCAAGTGGATATTTGGACCTCTCTGAGGATTTCGTTGGAAACGGGATAAACTTCCCAGAACTACACGGAAGCATTCTGAGAAACTTCTTTGTGATGTTTGCATTCAACTCACAGAGTTGAACCTTGCTTTGATAGTTCAGCTTTCAAACACTCTTTTTGTAGAATCTGCAAGTGGATATTTGGACCACTTTGTGGCCTTCCTTCGAAACGGGTATATCTTCACATCAAACCTAGACAGAAGCATTCTCAGAATGTTTCCTGTGATGACTGCATTCAACTCACAGATGTGAACAATCCTGTTGATGGAGCAGTTTTGAAACTCTCTTTCTTTGGATTCTGCAAGTGGATATGTGGACCTCTGTGAAGATTTCGTTGGAAACGGGTTCATCTTCACAGAAAAACTAAACAGGAGCATTCTCAGAAACTGCTTTGTGATGTTTGTGTTCCACTTCAAGAATTGAACTTTCCTCTTGACAGAGCAGCTCTGAAACCCTCTTTTTCTAGAAACTGCAAGTGGACATTTGGAGGGCTTAGAGGCCTGTGGTGGAAAAGGAAAATCTTCACATAAAAACTAGATGGAAGCATTCTCAGAAACTACTTTGTGATGATTGCATTCGACTCACAGAGTTGAACATTCCTATAGATAGAGCAGGTTGTAAACAATCTTTTTGTAGAATCTGCGATTGGAGATTTGGACTGCTTTGAGGCCTACTGTAGTAAAGGAAATAACTTCATCTAAAAACCAAACGGAAGCATTCACAGACAATTCTTAGTGATCATTGCATTGAACTAACAGAGCTGAACATTCCTTTAGATGGCGCAGTTTCCAAACACACTTTCTGTAGAATCTGCAAGTGGATATTTGGACCTCTCTGAGGATTTCGTTGGAAACGGGATAAACTTCCCAGAACTACACGGAAGCATTGTGAGAAACTTCTTTGTGATGTTTGCATTCAACTCACAGAGTTGAAACTTGCTTTCATTGTTCAGCTTTCAAACACTCTTTTTGAAGAATCTGCAAGTGGATATTTGGACCACTTTGTGGCCTTCTTTCGAAACGGGTATATCTTCACATCAAACCTAGACAGAAGCATTCTCAGAATGTTTCCTGTGATGACTGCATTCAACTCACAGAGGTGAACAATCCTGTTGATGGAGCAGTTTTGAAACTCTCTTTCTTTGGATTCTGCAAGTGGATATGTGGACCTCTGTGAAGATTTGGTTGGAAACGGGTTCATCTTCACAGAAAAACTAAACAGAAGTATTCTCAGAAACTGCTTTGTGATGTTTGTGTTCCACTTCAAGAATTGAACTTTCCTCTTGACAGAGCAGCTCTGAAACCCTCTTTTTCTAGAGTCTGCAAGTGGACATTTGGAGGGCTTTGAGGCCTGTGGTGGAAAAGGAAAATCTTCACATACAAACTAGATGGAAGCATTCTCAGAAACTACTTTGTGATGATTGCATTCGACTCACAGAGTTGAACATTCCTATACATAGAGCAGGTTGTAAACAATCTTTTTGTAGAATCTGCGATTGGAGATTTGGACTGCTTTGAGGCCTACTGTAGTAAAGGAAATAACTTCATCTAAAAACCAAACGGAAGCATTCACAGACAATTCTTAGTGATCATTGGATTGAACTAACAGAGCTGAACACTCCTTTAGATGGAGCAGTTACCAAACACACTTTCTGTAGAATCTGCAAGTGGATATTTGGACTTCTCTGAGGATTTCGTTGGAAACGGGATAAACTTCCCAGAACTACACGGAAGCATTCTGAGAAACTTCTTTGTGATGTTTGCATTCAACTCACAGAGTTGAACCTTGCTTTCATAGTTCAGCTTTCAAACACTCTTTTTGTAGAATCTGCAAGTGGATATTTGGACCACTTTCTGGCCTTCCTTCGAAACGGGTATATCTTCACATCAAACCTAGACAGAAGCATTCTCAGAATGTTTCCTGTGATGACTGCATTCAACTCACAGAGGTGAACAATCCTGTTGATGGAGCACTTTTGAAACTCTCTTTCTTTGGATTCTGCAAGTTGATATGTGGACCTCTGTGAAGATTTCGTTGGAAACGGGTTCATCTTCACAGAAAAACTAAACAGAAGCATTCTCAGAAACTGCTTTGTGATGTTTGTGTTCCACTTCAGGAATTGAACTTTCCTCTTGACAGAGCAGCTCTGAAACCCTCTTATTCTATAATCTGCATGTGGACATTTGGAGGGCTTTGAGGCCTGTGGTGGAAAAGGAAAATCTTCACATAAAAACTAGATGGAAGCATTCTCAGAAACTACTTTGTGATGATTGCATTCGACTCACAGAGTTGAACATTCCTATACATAGAGCAGGTTGTAAACAATCTTTTTGTAGAATCTGCGATTGGAGATTTGGACTGCTTTGAGGCCTACTGTAGTAAAGGAAATAACTTCATCTAAAAACCAAACGGAAGCATTCACAGACAATTCTTAGTGATCATTGGATTGAACTAACAGAGCTGAACATTCCTTTAGATGGAGCAGTTTCCAAACCCACTTTCTGTAGAATCTGCAAGTGGATATTGGGACCTCTCTGAGGATTTCGTTGGAAACGGGCTAAATTTCCCAGAACTACACGGAAAGCATTCTGAGAAACTTCTTTGTGATGTTTGCATTCAACTCACAGAGTTGAACCTTGCTTTCATAGTTCAGCTTTCAAACACTCTTTTTGTAGAATCTGCAAGTGGATATTTGGACCACTTTGTGGCCTTCCTTCGAAACGGGTATATCTTCACATCAAACCTAGACAGAGCATTCTCAGAATGTTTCCTGTGATGACTGCATTCAACTCACAGAGGTGAACAATCCTGTTGATGGAGCACTTTTGAAACTCTCTTTCTTTGGATTCTGCAAGTTGATAAGTGGACCTCTGTGAAGATTTCGTTGGAAACGGGTTCATCTTCACAGAAAAACTAAACAGAAGCATTCTCAGAAACTGCTTTGTGATGTTTGTGTTCCACTTCAAGAATTGAACTTTCCTCTTGACAGAGCAGCTCTGAAACCCTCTTTTTCTAGAATCTGCAAGTGGACATTTGGAGGGCTTTGAGGCCTGTGGTGGAAAAGGAAAATCTTCACATAAAAACTAGATGGAAGCATTCTCAGAAACTCCTTTGTGATGATTGCATTCGACTCACAGAGTTGAACATTCCTATAGATAGAGCAGGTTGTAAACAATCTTTTTGTAGAATCTGCGATTGGAGATTTGGACTTCTTTGAGGCCTACTGTAGTAAAGGAAATAACTTCATCTAAAAACCAAACGGAAGCATTCACAGATAATTCTTAGTGATATTGGATTGAACTAACAGAGCTGAACATTCCTTTAGATGGAGCAGTTTCCAAACACACTTTCTGTAGAATCTGCAAGTGGATATTTGGACTTCTCTGAGGATTTCGTTGGAAACGGGATAAACTTATCAGAACTACACGGAAGCATTCTTAGAAACTTCTTTGTGATGTTTGCATTCAACTCACAGAGTTGAACCTTGCTTTCATAGTTCAGCTTTCAAACACTCTTTTTGTAGAATCTGCAAGTGGATATTTGGACCACTTTGTGGCCTTCCTTAGAAACGGGTATATCTTCACATCAAACCTAGACAGAAGCATTTTCAGAATGTTTCCTGTGATGACTGCATTCAACTCACAGAGGTGAACAATCCTGCTGATGGAGCAGTTTTGAAACTCTCTTTCTTTGGATTCTGCAAGTGGATATGTGGACCTCTGTGAAGATTTCGTTGGAAACGGTTTCATCTTCACAGAAAAACTAAACAGAAGCATTCTCAGAAACTGCTTTGTGATGTTTGTGTTCCACTTCAAGAATTGAACTTTCCTCTTGACAGAGCAGCTCTGAAACCCTCTTTTTCTAGAATCTGCAAGTGGACATTTGGAGGGCTTTGAGGCCTGTGGTGGAAAAGGAAAATCTTCCCATAAAAACTAGATGGAAGCATTCTCAGAAACTACTTTGTGATGATTGCATTCGACTCACAGAGTTGAACATTCCTATAGATAGAGCAGGTTGTAAACAATCTTTTTGTAGAATCTGCGATTGGAGATTTGGACTGCTTTGAGGCCTACTGTAGTAAAGGAAATAACTTCATCTAAAAACCAAACGGAAGCATTCACAGACAATTCTTAGTGATCATTGCATTGAACTAACAGAGCTGAACATTCCTTTAGATGGAGCAGTTTCCAAACACACTTTCTGTAGAATCTGCAAGTGGATATTTGGACTTCTCTGAGGATTTCGTTGGAAACGGGATAAACTTCCCAGAACTACACGGAAGCATTCTGAGAAACTTCTTTGTGATGTTTGCATTCAACTCACAGAGTTGAACCTTGCTTTCATAGTTCAGCTTTCAAACACTCTTTTTGTAGAATCTGCAAGTGGATATTTGGACCATTTGTGGTCTTCCTTCGAAACGGGTATATCTTCACATCAAACCTAGACAGAAGCATTCTCAGAATGTTTCCTGTGATGACTGCATTCAACTCACAGAGGTGAACAATCCTGCTGATGGAGCAGTTTTGAAACTCTCTTTCTTTGGATTCTGCAAGTGGATATGTGGACCTCTGTGAAGATTTCGTTGGAAACGGGTTCATCTTCACAGAAAAACTAAACAGAAGCATTCTCAGAAACTGCTTTGTGATGTTTGTGTTCCACTTCAGGAATCGAACTTTCGTCTTGACAGAGCAGCTCTGAAACCCTCTTTTTCTAGAATCTGCAAGTGGACATTTGGAGGGCTTTGAGGCCTGTGGTGGAAAAGGAAAATCTTCACATAAAAACTAGATGGAAGCATTCTCAGAAACTACTTTGTGATGATTGCATTCGACTGACAGAGTTGAACATTCCTATAGAGAGAGCAGGTTGTAAACAATCTTTTTGTAGAATCTGCGATTAGAGATTTGGACTGCTTTGAGGCCTACTGTAGTAAAGGAAATAACTTCATCTAAAAACCAAACGGAAGCATTCACAGACAATTCTTAGTGATCATTGGATTGAACTAACAGAGCTGAACATTCCTTTAGATGGCGCAGTTTCCAGACACACTTTCTGTAGAATCTGCAACTGGATATTTGGACCTCTCTGAGGATATCGTTTGAAACAGGATAAAATTCCCAGAACTACACGGAAGCATTCTGAGAAACTTCTTTGTGATGTTTGCATTCAACTCACAGAGTTGAACCTTGCTTTCATAGTTCAGCTTTCAAACACTCTTTTTGTAGAATCTGCAAGTGGATATTTGGACCACTTTGTGGCCTTCCTTCGAAACGGGTATATGTTCACATCAAACCTAGACAGAAGCATTCTCAGAATGTTTCCTGTGATGACTGCATTCAACTCACAGAGGTGAACAATCCTGCTGATGGAGCAGTTTTGAAACTCTCTTTCTTTGGATTCTGCAAGTGGATATGTGGACCTCTGTGAAGATTTCGTTGGAAACGGGTTCATCTTCACAGAAAAACTAAACAGAAGCATTCCCAGAAACTGCTTTGTGATGTTTCTGTTCCACTTCAAGAATTGAACTTTCCTCTTGACAGAGCAGCTCTGAAACCCTCTTTTTCTAGAATCTGCAAGTGGACATTTGGAGGGCTTTGAGGCCTGTGGTGGAAAAGGAAAATCTTCACATAAAAACTAGATGGAAGCATTCTCAGAAACTACTTTGTGATGATTGCATTCGACTCACAGAGTTGAACATTCCTATAGAGAGAGCAGGTTGTAAACAATCTTTTTATAGATTCTGCGATTGGAGATTTGGACTGCTTTGAGGCCTACTGTAGTAAAGGAAATTACTTCATCTAAAAACCAAACGGAAGCATTCACAGACAATTCTTAGTGATCATTGCATTGAACTAACAGAGCTGAACATTCCTTTAGATGGAGCAGTTTCCAAACACACTTTCTGTAGAATCTGCAAGTGGATATTTGGACTTCTCTGAGGATTTCGTTGTAAAGGGGATAAATTTCCCAGAACTACACGGAAGCATTGTGAGAAACTTCTTTGTGATGTTTGCATTCAACTCACAGAGTTGAACCTTGCTTTCATAGTTCAGCTTTCAAACACTCTTTTTGTAGAATCTGCAAGTGGATATTTGGACCACTTTGTGGCCTTCCTTCGAAACGGGTATATCTTCACATCAAACCTAGACAGAAGCATTCTCAGAATGTTTCCTGTGATGACTGCATTCAACTCACAGAGGTGAACAATCCTGCTGTTGGAGCAGTTTTGAAACTCACTTTCTTTGGATTCTGCAAGTGGATATGTGGACCTCTGTGAAGATTTCATTGGAAACGGGTTCATCTTCACAGAAAAACTAAACAGGAGCATTCTCAGAAACTGCTTTGTGATGTTTGTGTTCCACATCAAGAATTGAACTTTCCTCTTGACAGAGCAGCTCTGAAACCCTCTTTTTCTAGAATCTGCAAGTGGACATTTGGAGGGCTTTGAGGCCTGTGGTGCAAAAGGAAAATCTTCACATAAAAACTAGATGGAAGCATTCTCAGAAACTACTTTGTGATGATTGCATTCGACTCACAGAGTTGAACATTACTATAGATAGAGCAGGTTGTAAACAATGTTTTTGTAGAATCTGCGATTGGAGATTTGGACTGCTTTGAGGTCTACTGTAGTAAAGGAAATAACTTCATCTAAAAACCAAACGGAAGCATTCACAGACAATACTTAGTGATCATTGGATTGAACTAACAGAGCTGAACATTCCTTTAGATGGAGCAGTTTTCAAACACACTTTCTGTAGAATCTGCAACTGGATATTTGGACTTCTCTGAGGATTTCGTTAGAAACGGGATAAACTTCCCAGAACTACACGGAAGCATTCTGAGAAACTTCTTTGTGATGGTTGCATTCAACTCACAGGGTTGAACCTTGCTTTCATAGTTCAGCTTTCAAACACTCTTTTTGTAGAATCTGCAAGTGGATATTTGGACCACTTTGTGGCCTTCCTTCGAAACGGGTATATCTTCACATCAAACCTAGACAGAAGCATTCTCAGAATGTTTCCTGTGATGACTGCATTCAACTCACAGAGGTGAACAATCCTGCTGATGGAGCAGTTTTGAAACTCTCTTTCTTTGGATTCTGCAAGTGGATATGTGGACCTCTGTGAAGATTTCGTTGGAAACGGGTTCATCTTCACAGAAAAACTAAACAGAGAGCATTCTCAGAAACTGCTTTGTGATGTTTGTGATCCACTTCAGGAATTGAACTTTCCTCTTGACAGAGCAGCTCTGAAACCCTCTTTTTCCAGAATCTGCAAGTGGACATTTGGAGGGCTTTGAGGCCTGTGGTGGAAAAGGAAAATCTTCACATAAAAACTAGATGGAGCATTCTCAGAAACTACTTTGTGATGATTGCATTCGACTCACAGAGTTGAACATTCCTATAGATAGAGCAGGTTGAAAACAATCTTTTTGTAGAATCTGCGATTGGAGATTTGGACTGCTTTGAGGCCTACTGTAGTAAAGGAAATAACTTAATCTAAAAACCAAACGGAAGCATTCACAGACAATTCTTAGTGATCATTGGATTGAACTAACAGAGCTGAACATTCCTTTAGATGGCGCAGTTTCCAAACACACTTTCTGTAGAATCTGCCACTGGATATTTGGACCTCTCTGAGGATTTCGTTGGAAACGGGATAAACTTCCCAGAACTACACGGAAGCATTCTGAGAAACTTCTTTGTGATGGTTGCATTCAACTCACAGAGTTGAACCTTGCTTTCATAGTTCAGCTTTCAAACACTCTTTTTGTAGAATCTGCAAGTGGATATTTGGACCACTTTGTGGCCTTCCTTCGAAACGGGTATATCTTCACATCAAACCTAGACAGAAGCATTCTCAGAATGTTTCCTGTGATGACTGCATTCAACTCACAGAGGTGAACAATCCTGCTGATGGAGCAGTGTTGAAACTCTCTTTCTTTGGATTCTCCAAGTGGATATTTGGACCTCTGTGAAGATTTCGTTGGAAACGGGTTCATCTTCACAGAAAAACTAAACAGGAGCATTCTCAGAAACTGCTTTGTGATGTTTGTGTTCCACTTCAAGAATTGAACTTTCCTCTTTACAGAGCAGCTCTGAAACCCTCTTTTTCTAGAATCTGCAAGTGGACATTTGGAGGGCTTTGAGGCCTGTGGTGGAAAAGGAAAATCTTCACATAAAAACTAGATGGAAGCATTCTCAGAAACTACTTTGTGATGATTGCATTCGACTCAAAGAGTTGAACATTCCTATAGATAGAGCAGGTTGTAAACAATCTTTTTGTAGAATCTGCGATTGGAGATTTGGACTGCTTCGAGGCCTACTGTAGTAAAGGAAATAACTTCATCTAAAAACCAAACGGAAGCATTCACAGACAATTCTTAGTGATCTATTGGATTGAACTAACAGAGCTGAACATTCCTTTAGATGGCGCAGTTTCCAAACCCACTTTCTGTAGAATCTGCAAGTGGATATTTGGACTTCTCTGAGGATTTCGTTGGAAACGGGATAAACTTCCTAGAACTACACGGAAGCATTCTGAGAAACTTCTTTGTAATGTTTGCATTCAACTCACAGAGTTGAACCTTGCTTTCATAGTTCAGCTTTCAAACACTCTTTTTGTAGAATCTGCAAGTGGATATTTGGACCACTTTGTGGCCTTCCTTCGAAACGGGTATATCTTCACATCAAACCTAGACAGAAGCATTCTCAGAATGTTTCCTGTGATGACTGCATTCAACTCACAGAGGTGAACAATCCTGTTGATGGAGCAGTTTTGAAACTCTCTTTCTTTGGATTCTGCAAGTGGATATGTGGACCTCTGTGAAGATTTCGTTGGAAACGGGTTCATCTTCACAGAAAAACTAAACAGAAACATTCTCAGAAACTGCTTTGTGATGTTTGTGTTCCACTTCAAGAATTGAACTTTCCTCTTGACAGAGCAGCTCTGAAACCCTCTTTTTCTAGAATCTGCAAGTGGACATTTGGAGGGCTTTGAGGCCTGTGGTGGAAAAGGAAAATCTTCACATAAAAACTAGATGGAAGCATTCTCAGAAACTACTTTGTGATGATTGCATTCGACTCACAGAGTTGAACATTCCTATAGATAGAGCAGGTTGTAAACAATCTTTTTGTAGAATCTGCGATTGGAGAATTGGACTGCTTTGAGGCCTACTGTAGTAAAGGAAATAACTTCATCTAAAAACCAAACGGAAGCATTCACAGACAATTCTTAGTGATCATTGGATTGAACTAACAGAGCTGAACATTCCTTTAGATGGAGCAGTTTCCAAACACACTTTCTGTAGAATCTGCAAGTGGATATTTGGACCTCTCTGAGGATTTCGTTGGAAACGTGCTAAACTTCCCAGAACTACACGGAAGCATTCTGAGAAACTTCTTTGTGATGTTTGCATTCAACTCACCGAGTTGAACCTTGCTTTCCTAGTTCAGCTTTCAAACACTCTTTTTGTAGAATCTGCAAGTGGATATTTCGACCACTTTGTGGCCTTCCTTCGAAACGGGTATATCTTCACATCAAACCTAGACAGAAGCATTCTCAGAATGTTTCCTGTGATGACTGCATTCAACTCACAGAGGTGAACAATCCTGCTGATGGAACAGTTTTGAAACTCTCTTTCTTTGGATTCTGCAAGTGGATATGTGGACCTCTGTGAAGATTTCGTTGGAAACGGGTTCATCTTCACAGAAAAATTAAACAGAAGCATTCTCAGAAACTGCTTTGTGATGTCTGTGTTCCACTTCAAGTAATTGAACTTTCCTCTTGACAGAGCAGCTCTGAAACCCTCTTTTTCTAGAGTCTGCAAGTGGACATTTTGAGGGCTTTGAGGCCTGTGGTGGAAAAGGAAAATCTTCACATAAAAACTAGATGGAAGCATTCTCAGAAACTACTTTGTGATGATTGCATTCGACTCACAGAGTTGAACATTCCTATAGATAGAGCAGGTTGTAAACAATCTTTTTGTAGAATCTGCGATTGGAGATTTGGACTGCTTTGAGGCCTACTGTAGTAAAGGAAATAACTTCATCTAAAAACCAAACGGAAACATTCACAGACAATTCTTAGTGATCATTGCATTGAACTAACAGAGCTGAACATTCCTTTAGATGGCGCAGTTTCCAAACACACTTTCTGTAGAATCTGCAAGTGGATATTTGGACCTCTCTGAGGATTTCGTTGGAAACGGGATAAACTTCCCAGAACTACACGGAACCATGCTGAGAAACTTCTTTGTGATGTTTGCATTCAACTCACAGAGTTGAACCTTGCTTTCATAGTTCAGCTTTCAAACACTCTTTTTGTAGAATCTGCAAGTGGATATTTGGACCACTTTGTGGCCTTCCTTCGAAACGGGTATATCTTCACTTCAAACCTAGACAGAAGCATTCTCAGAATGTTTCCTGTGATGACTGCATTCAACTCACAGAGGTGAACAATCCTGTTGGTGGAGCAGTTTTGAAACTCTCTTTCTTTGGATTCTGCAAGTGGATATGTGGACCTCTGTGAAGATTTCGTTGGAAACGGGTTCATCTTCACAGAAAAACTAAACAGGAGCATTCTCAGAAACTGCTTTGTGATGTTTGTGTTCCACTTCAGGAATTGAACTTTCCTCTTGATAGAGCAGCTCTGAAACCCTCTTTTTCTAGAATCTGCAAGTGGACATTTGGAGGGTTTTGGGTCCTGTGGTGGAAAAGGAAATCTTCACATAAAAACTAGATGGAAGCATTCTCAGAAACTACTTTGCGATGATTGCATTCGACTCACTGAGTTGAACATTCCTATAGATAGAGCAGGTTGTAAACAATCTTTTTGTAGAATCTGCGATTGGAGATTTGGACTGCTTTGAGGCCTACTGTAGTAAAGGAAATAACTTCATCTAAAAACCAAACGGAAGCATTCACAGACAATTCTTAGTGATCATTGCATTGAACTAACAGAGCTGAACATTCCTTTAGATGGCGCAGTTTCCAAACACACTTTCTGTAGAATCTGCAAGTGGATACTTGGACCTCTCTGAGGATTTCGTTGGAAACGGGATAAACTTCCCAGAACTACACGGAAGTATTCTGAGAAACTTCTTTGTGATGTTTGCATTCAACTCACAGAGTTGAACCTTGCTTTCATAGTTCAGCTTTCAAACACTCTTTTTGTAGAATCTGCAAGTGGATATTTGGACCACTTTGTGGCCTTCCTTCGAAACGGGTATATCTTCACATCAAACCTAGACAGAAGCATTCTCAGAATGTTTCCTGTGATGACTGCATTCAACTCACAGAGGTGAACAATCCTGCTGATGGAGCAGTTTTGAAACTCTCTTTCTTTAGATTCTGCAAGTGGATATGATGGACCTCTGTGAAGATTTCGTTGGAAACGGGTTCATCTTCACAGAAAAACTAAACAGGAGCATTCTCAGAAACTGCTTTGTGATGTTTGTGTTCCACTTCAAGAATTGAACTTTCCTCTTGACAGAGCAGCTCTGAAACCCTCTTTTTCTAGAATCTGCAAGTGGACATTTGGAGGGCTTTGAGGCCTGTGGTGGAAAAGGAAAATCTTCACATAAAAACTAGATGGAAGCATTCTCAGAAACTACTTTGTTATGATTGCACTCGACTCACAGAGTTGAATATTCCTATAGATAGAGCAGGTTGTAAACAATCTTTTTGTAGAATCTGCGATTGGAGATTTGGACTGCTTTGAGGCCTACTGTAGTAAAGGAAATAACTTCATCTAAAAACTAAACGGAAGCATTCTCAGACAATTCTTAGTGATCATTGGATTGAACTAACAGAGCTGAACATTCCTTTAGATGGCGCAGTTTCCAAACACACTTTCTGTAGAATCTGCAAGTGGATATTTGGACCTCTCTGAGGATTTCGTTGGAAAAGGGATAAACTTCCCAGAACTACACGGAAAAGCATTCTGAGAAACTTCTTTGTGATGTTTGCATTCAACTCACAGAGTTGAACCTTGCTTTCATAGTTCAGCTTTCAAACACTCTTTTTGTAGAATCTGCAAGTGGATATTTGGACCACTTTCTGGCCTTCCTTCGAAACGGGTATATCTTCACATCAAACCTAGACAGAAGCATTCTCAGAATGTTTCCTGTGATGACTGCATTCAACTCACAGAGGTGAACAATCCTGCTGATGGAGCAGTTTTGAAATTCTCTTTCTTTGGATTCTGCAAGTGGATATGTGGACCTCTGTGAAGATTTCGTTGGAAACGGGTTCATCTTCACAGAAAAACTAAACAGAAGCATTCTCAGAAACTACTTTGTGATGTTTGTGTTCCACTTCAAGAATTGAACTTTCCTCTTGACAGAGCAGCTCTGAAACCCTCTTTTTCTAGAATCTGCAAGTGGACATTTGGAGGGCTTTGAGGCCTGTGGTGGAAAAGGAAAATCTTCACATAAAAACTAGATGGAAGCATTCTCAGAAACTACTTTGTGATGATTGCATTCGACTCACAGAGTTGAACATTCCTATACATAGAGCAGGTTGTAAACAATCTTTTTGTAGAATCTGCGATTGGAGATTTGGACTGCTTTGAGGCCTACTGTAGTAAAGGAAATAACTTCATCTAAAAACCAAACGGAAGCATTCACAGACAATTCTTAGTGATCATTGCATTGAACTAACAGAGCTGAACATTCCTTTAGATGGAGCAGTTTCCAAACCCACTTTCTGTAGAATCTGCAAGTGGATATTTGGACTTCTCTGAGGATTTCGTTGGAAACGGGATATACTTCCCAGAACTACACGGAAGCATTGTGAGAAACTTCTTTGTGATGTTTGCATTCAACTCACAGAGTTGAACCTTGCTTTCATAGTTCAGCTTTCAAACACTCTTTTTGTGGAATCTGCAAGTGGATATTTGGACCACTTTGTGGCCTTCCTTCGAAACGGGTATATACTTCACATCAAACCTAGACAGAAGCATTCTCAGAATGTTTCCTGTGATGACTGCATTCAACTCACAGAGGTGAACAATCCTGCTGATGGAGCAGTTTTGAAACTCTCTTTCTTTGGATTCTGCAAGTGGATATGTGGACCTCTGTGAAGATTTCGTTGGAAACGGGTTCATCTTCACAGAAAAACTAAACAGAAGCATTCTCAGAAACTGCTTTGTGATGTTTGTGTTCCACTTCAGGAATTGAACTTTCCTCTTGAAAGAGCAGCTCTGAAACCCTCTTTTTCTAGAATCTGCAAGTGGACATTTGGAGGGCTTTGAGGCCTGTGGTGGAAAAGGAAAATCTTCACATAAAAACTAGATGGAAGCATTCTCAGAAACTACTTTGTGATGATTGCATTCGACTCACAGAGTTGAACATTCCTATAGATAGAGCAGGTTGTAAACAATCTTTTTGTAGAATCTGCGATTGGAGATTTGGACTGCTTTGAGGCCTACTGTAGTAAAGGAAATAACTTCATCTAAAAACCAAACGGAAGCATTCACAGACAATTCTTAGTGATCAATGCATTGAACTAACAGAGCTGAACATTCCTTTACATGGAGCAGTTTCCAAACACACTTTCTGTAGAATCTGCAAGTGGATATTTGGACTTCTCTGAGGATTTCGTTGGAAACGGGATAAACTTCCCAGAACTACACGGAAGCATTGTGAGAAACTTCTTTGTGATGTTTGCATTCAACTCACAGAGTTGAACCTTGCTTTCATAGTTCAGCTTTCAAACACTCTTTTCGTAGAATCTGCAAGTGGATATTTGGACCACTTTGTGGCCTTCCTTCGAAACGGGTATATCTTCACATCAAACCTAGACCGAAGCATTCTCAGAATGTTTCCTGTGATGACTGCATTCAACTCACAGAGGTGAACAATCCTGCTGATGGAGCAGTTTTGAAACTCTCTTTCTTTGGATTCTGCAAGTGGATATGTGGACCTCTGTGAAGATTTCGTTGGAAACGGGTTCATCTTCACAGAAAAACTAAACAGAAGCATTCTCAGAAACTGCTTTGTGATGTTTGTGTTCCACTTCAAGAATTGAACTTTTCTCTTGACAGAGCAGCTCTGAAACCCTCTTTTTCTAGAATCTGCAAGTGGACATTTGGAGGGCTTTGAGGCCTGTGGTGGAAAAGGAAAATCTTCACATAAAAACTACATGGAAGCATTCTCAGAAACTACTTTGTGATGATTGCATTCGACTCACAGAGTTGAACATTCCTATAGATAGAGCAGGTTGTAAACAATCTTTTTGTAGAATCTGCGATTGGAGATTTGGACTGCTTTGAGGCCTACTGTAGTAAAGGAAATAACTTCATCTAAAAACCAAACGGAAGCATTCACAGACAATTCTTAGTGATCATTGGATTGAACTAACAGAGCTGAACATTCCTTTAGATGGCGCAGTTTCCAAACACACTTTCTGTAGAATCTGCCACTGGATATTTGGACCTCTCTGAGGATTTCGTTGGAAATGGGATAAACTTCCCACAACTACACGGAAGCATTCTGAGAAACTTCTTTGTGATGTTTGCATTCAACTCACAGAGTTGAACCTTGCTTTCATAGTTCAGCTTTCAAACACTCTTTTTGTAGAATCTGCAAGTGGATATTTGGACCACTTTGTGGCCTTCCTTCGAAACGGGTATATCTTCACATCAAACCTAGACAGAAGCATTCTCAGAATGTTTCCTGTGATGACTGCATTCAACTCACAGAGGTGAAAAATCCTGCTGATGGAGCAGTTTTGAAACTCTCTTTCTTTGGATTCTGCAAGTGGATATGTGGACCTCTGTGAAGATTTCGTTGGAAACGGGTTCATCTTCACAGAAAAAATAAACAGGAGCATTCTCAGAAACTGCTTTGTGATGTTTGTTTTCCACTTCAAGAATTGAACTTTCCTCTTGACAGAGCAGCTCTGAAACCCTCTTTTTCTAGAATCTGCAAGTGGACATTTGGAGGGCTTTGAGGCCTGTGGTGGAAAAGGAAAATCTTCACATAAAAACTAGATGGAAGCATTCTCAGAAACTACTTTGTGATGATTGCATTCGACTCACAGAGTTGAACATTCCTATAGATAGAGCAGGTTGTAAACAATGTTTTTGTAGAATCTGCGATTGGAGATTTGGACTGCTTTGAGGCCTACTGTAGTAAAGGAAATAACTTCATCTAAAAACCAAACGGAAGCATTCACAGACAATTCTTAGTGATCATTGCATTGAACTAACAGAGCTGAACATTCCTTTAGATGGCGCAGTTTCCAAACACACTTTCTGTAGAATCTGCAAGTGGATATTTGGACCTCTCTGAGGATTTCTTTGGAAACGGGATAAACTTCCCAGAACTACACGGAAGCATTCTGAGAAACTTCTTTGTGATGTTTGCATTCAACTCACAGAGTTGAAACTTGCTTTCATAGTTCAGCTTTCAAACACTCTTTTTGTAGAATCTGCAAGTGGATATTTGGACCACTTTGTGGCCTTCCTTCGAAACGGGTATATCTTCACATCAAACCTAGACAGAAGCATTCTCAGAATGTTTCCTGTGATGACTGCATTCAACTCACAGAGGTGAACAATCCTGCTGATGGAGCAGTTTTGAAACTCTCTTTCTTTGGATTCTGCAAGTGGATATGTGGACCTCTGTGAAGATTTCGTTGGAAACGGGTTCATCTTCACAGAAAAACTAAACAGAAGCATTCTCAGAAACTGCTTTGTGATGTTTGTGTTCCACTTAAAGAATTGAACTTTCCTCTTGACAGAGCAGCTCTGAAACCCTCTTTTTCTAGAATCTGCAAGTGGACATTTGGAGGGCTTTGAGGCCTGTGGTGGAAAAGGAAAATCTTCACATAAAAACTTTATGGAAGCATTCTCAGAAACTACTTTGTGATGATTGCATTCGACTCACAGAGTTGAACATTCCTATAGATAGAGCAGGTTGTAAACAATCTTTTTGTAGAATCTGCGATTGGAGATTTGGACTGCTTTGAGGCCTACTGTAGTAAAGGAAATAACATCATCTAAAAACCAAACGGAAGCATTCACAGACAATTCTTAGTGATCATTGCATTGAACTAACAGAGTTGAACATTCCTTTAGGTGGCGCAGTTTCCAAACACACTTTCTGTTGAATCTGCAAGTGGATATTTGGACCTCTCTGAGGATTTCGTTGGAAACGGGATAAACTTCCCAGAACTACACGGAAGCATTCTGAGAAACTTCTTTGTGATGTTTGCATTCAACTCACAGAGTTGAACCTTGCTTTCATAGTTCAGCTTTCAAACCCTCTTTTTGTAGAATCTGCAAGTGGATATTTGGACCACTTTGTGGCCTTCCTTCGAAACGGGTATATGTTCACGTCAAACCTAGACAGAAGCATTCTCAGAATGTTTCCTGTGATGACTGCATTCAACTCACAGAGATGAACAATCCTGTTGATGGAGCAGTTTTGAAACTCTCTTTCTTTGCATTCTGCAAGTGGATATGTGAACCTCTGTGAAGATTTCGTTGGAAACGGGTTCATCTTCACAGAAAAATTAAACAGAAGCATTCTCAGAAACTGCTTTGTGATGTTTGTGTTCCACTTCAGGAATTGAACTTTCCTCTTGACAGAGCAGCTCTGAAACCCTCTTATTCTAGAATCTGCAAGTTGACATTTGGAGGGCTTTGAGGCCTGTGGTGGAAAAGGAAAATCTTCACATAAAAACTAGATGGAAGCATTCTCAGAAACTACTTTGTGATGATTGCATTCGACTCACAGAGTTGAACATTCCTACAGATAGAGCAGGTTGTAAACAATCTTTTTGTAGAATCTGCGATTGGAGATTTGGACTGCTTTGAGGCCTACTGTAGTAAAGGAAATAACTTCATCTAAAAACCAAACGGAAGCATTCACAGACAATTCTTAGTGATCATTGCATTGATCTAACAGAGCTGAACATTCCTTTAGATGGCGTAGTTTCCAAACACACTTTCTGTAGAATCTGCAAGTGGATATTTGGACCTCTCTGAGGATTTCGTTGGAAAAGGGATAAACTTCCCAGAACTACACGGAAGCATTCTGAGAAACTTCTTTGTGATGTTTGCATTCAACTCACAGAGTTGAACCTTGCTTTCATAGTTCAGCTTTCAAACACTCTTTTTGTAGAATCTGCAAGTGGATATTTGGACCACTTTGTGGCCTTCCTTCGAAACGGGTATATCTTCACATCAAACCTAGACAGAAGCATTCTCAGCATGTTTCCTGTGATGACTGCATTCAACTCACAGAGGTGAACAATCCTGTTGATGGAGCAGTTTTGAAACTCTCTTTCTTTGGATTCTGCAAGTGGATATGTGGACCTCTGTGAAGATTTCGTTGGAAACGGGTTCATCTTCACAGAAAAACTAAACAGAAGCATTCTCAGAAACTGCTTTGTGATGTTTGTGTTCCACTTCAGGAATTGAACTTTCCTCTTGACTGAGCAGCTCTGAAACCCTCTTTTTCTAGAATCTGCAAGTGGACATTTGGAGGGCTTTGAGGCCTGTGGTGGAAAAGGAAAATCTTCACATAAAAACTAGATGGAAGCATTCTCAGAAACTACTTTGTGATGTTTGCATTCGACTCACAGAGTTGAACATTCCTATAGATAGAGCAGGTTGAAAACAATCTTTTTGTAGAATCTGCGATTGGAGATTTGGACTGCTTTGAGGCCTACTGTAGTAAAGGAAATAACTTCATCTAAAAACCAAACGGAAGCATTCACAGACAATTCTTAGTGATCATTGGATTGAACTAACAGAGCTGAACATTCCTTTAGATGGAGCAGTTTCCAAACACACTTTCTGTAGAATCTGCAAGTGGATATTTGGACCTCTCTGAGGATTTCGTTGGAAACGGGATAAACTTCCCAGAACTACACGGAAGCATGCTGAGAAACTTCTTTGTGATGTTTGCATTCAACTCACAGAGTTGAACCTTGCTTTCATAGTTCAGCTTTCAAACACTCATTTGTAGAATCTGCAAGTGGATATTTGGACCACTTTGTGGCCTTCCTTCGAAACGGGTATATCTTCACATCAAACCTAGACAGAAGCATTCTCAGAATGTTTCCTGTGATGACTGCATTCAACTCACAGAGGTGAACAATCCTGCTGATGGAGCAGTTTTGAAACTCTCTTTCTTTGGATTCTGCAAGTGGATATGTGGACCTATGTGAAGATTTCGTTGGAAACGGGTTCATCTTCACAGAAAAACTAAACAGGAGCATTCTCAGAAACTGCTTTGTGATGTTTGTGTTCCACTTCAAGAATTGAACTTTCCTCTTGACAGAGCAGCTCTGAAACCCTCTTTTTCTAGAATCTGCAAGTGGACATTTGGAGGGCTTTGAGGTCTGTGTTGGAAAAGGAAAATCTTCACATAAAAACTAGATGGAAGCATTCTCAGAAACTACTTTGTGATGATGGCTTTCGACTCACAGAGTTGAACATTCCTATAGATAGAGCAGGTTGTAAACAATCTTTTTGTAGAATCTGCGATTGGAGATTTGGACTGCTTTGAGGCCTACTGTAGTAAAGGAAATAACTTCATCTAAAAACCAAACGGAAGCATTCACAGACAATTCTTAGTGATCATTGCATTGAACTAACAGAGCTGAACATTCCTTTAGATGGCGCAGTTTCCAAACACACTTTCTGTAGAATCTGCAAGTGGATATTTAGACCTCTCTGAGGATTTCGTTGGAAACGGGATAAACTTCCCAGAACTACACGGAAGCATTGTGAGAAAATTCTTTGTGAAGTTTGCATTCAACTCACAGAGTTGAACCTTGGTTTCATAGTTCAGCTTTCAAACACTCTTTTTGTAGAATCTGCAAGTGGATATTTGGACCACTTTGTGGCCTTCCTTCGAAACGGGTATATCTTCACATCAAACCTAGACAGAAGCATTCTCAGAATGTTTCCTGTGATGACTGCATTCAACTCACAGAGGTGAACAATCCTGCTGATGGAGCAGTTTTGAAACTCTCTTTCTTTGGATTCTGCAAGTGGATATGTGGACCTCTGTGAAGATTTCGTTGGAAACGGGTTCATCTTCACAGAAAAACTAAACAGGAGCATTCTCAGAAACTGCTTTGTGATGTTTGTGTTCCACTTCAGGAATTGAACTTTCCTCTTGACAGAGCAGCTCTAAAACCCTCTTATTCTAGAATCTGCAAGTGGACATTTGGAGGGCTTTGAGGCCTGTGGTGGAAAAGGAAAATCTTCACATAAAAACTAGATGGAAGCATTCTCAGAAACTACTTTGTGATGATTGCATTCGACTCACAGAGTTGAACATTCCTATAGATAGAGCAGGTTGTAAACAATCTTTTTGTAGAATCTGCGATTGGAGATTTGGACTGCTTTGAGGCATACTGTAGTAAAGGAAATAACTTCATCTAAAAACCAAACGGAAGCATTCACAGACAATTCTTAGTGATCATTGCATTGAACTAACAGAGCTGAACATTCCTTTAGATGGCGCAGTTTCCAAACACACTTTCTGTAGAATCTGCAAGTGGATATTTGGACCTCTCTGAGGATTTCGTTGGAAACGGGATAAACTTCCCAGAACTACACGGAAAGCATTGTGAGAAACTTCTTTGTGATGTTTGCATTCAACTCACAGAGTTGAACCTTGCTTTCATAGTTCAGCTTTCAAACACTCTTTTTGTGGAATCTGCAAGTGGATATTTGGACCACTTTGTGGCCTTCCTTCGAAACGGGTATATCTTCACATCAAACCTAGACAGAAGCATTCTCAGAATGTTTCCTGTGATGACTGCATTCAACTCACAGAGGTGAACAATCCTGCTGATGGAGCAGTTTTGAAACTCTCTTTCTTTGGATTCTGCAAGTGGATATGTGGACCTCTGTGAAGATTTCGTTGGAAACGGGTTCATCTTCACAGAAAAACTAAACAGAAGCATTCTCAGAAACTGCTTTGTGATGTTTGTGTTCCACTTCAGGAATTGAACTTTCCTCTTGACAGAGCAGCTCTGAAACCCTCTTTTTCTAGAATCTGCAAGTGGACATTTGGAGGGCTTTGAGGCCTGTGGTGGAAAAGGAAAATCTTCACATAAAAACTAGATGGAAGCATTCTCAGAAACTACTTTGTGATGACTGCATTCGACTCACAGAGTTGAACATTCCTATATATAGAGCAGGTTGTAAACAATCTTTTTGTAGAGTCTGCGATTGGAGATTTGGACTGCTTTGAGGCCTACTGTAGTAAAGGAAATAACTTCATCTAAAAACCAAACGGAAGCATTCACAGACAATTCTTAGTGATCATTGCATTGAACTAACAGAGCTGAACATTCCTTTAGATGGCGCAGTTTCCAAACACACTTTCTGTAGAATCTGCAAGTGGATATTTGGACTTCTCTGAGGATTTCGTTGGAAACGGGATAAACTTCCCAGAACTACACGGAAGCATTCTGAGAAACTTCTTTGTGATGTTTGCATTCAACTCACAGAGTTGAACCTTGCTTTCATAGTTCAGCTTTCAAACACTCTTTTTGTAGAATCTGCAAGTGGATATTTGGACCACTTTGTGGCCTTCCTTCGAAACGGGTATATCTTCACATCAAACCTAGACAGAAGCATTCTCAGAATGTTTCCTGTGATGACTGCATTCAACTCACAGAGGTGAACAATCCTGCTGATGGAGCAGTTTTGAAACTCTCTTTCTTTGGATTCTGCAAGTGGATATGTGGACCTCTGTGAAGATTTCGTTGGAAACGGGTTCATCTTCCCAGAAAAACTAAAAAGAAGCATTCTCAGAAACTACTTTGTGATGTTTGTGTTCCACTTCAAGAATTGAACTTTCCTCTTGACAGAGCAGCTCTGAAACCCTCTTTTTCTAGAATCTGCAAGTGGACATTTGGAGGGCTTTGAGGCCTGTGGTGGAAAAGGAAAATCTTCACATAAAAACTAGATGGAAGCATTCTCAGAAACTACTGTATGATGATTGCATTCGACTCACAGAGTTGAACATTCCCATAGATAGAGCAGGTTGTAAACAATCTTTTTGTAGAATCTGCGATTGGAGATTTGGACTGCTTTGAGGCATACTGTAGTAAAGGAAATAACTTCATCTAAAAACCAAACGGAAGCATTCACAGTACAATTCTTAGTGATCATTGGATTGAACTAACAGAGCTGAACATTCCTTTAGATGGAGCAGTTTCCAAACACACTTTCTGTAGAATCTGCAAGTGGATATTTGGACTTCTCTGAGGATTTCGTTGGAAAAGGGATAAACTTCCCAGAACTACACGGAAGCATTGTGAGAAACTTCTTTGTGATGTTTGCATTCAACTCACAGAGTTGAACCTTGCTTTCATAGTTCAGCTTTCAAACACTCTTTTTGTAGAATCTGCAAGTGGATATTTGGACCACTTTGTGGCCTTCCTTCGAAACGGCTATATCTTCACATCAAACCTAGACAGAAGCATTCTCAGAATGTTTCCTGTGATGACTGCATTCAACTCACAGAGGTGAACAATCCTGCTGATGGAGCAGTTTTGAAACTCTCTTCCTTTGGATTCTGCAAGTGGATATGTGGACCTCTGTGAAGATTTCATTGGAAACGGGTTCATCTTCACAGAAAAACTAAACAGGAGCATTCTCAGAAACTGCTTTGTGATGTTTGTGTTCCACTTCAAGAATTGAACTTTCCTCTTGACAGAGCAGCTCTGAAACCCTCTTTTTCTAGAATCTGCAAGTGGACATTTGGAGGGCTTTGAGGCCTGTGGTGGAAAAGGAAAATCGTCACATAAAAACTAGATGGAAGCATTCTCAGAAACTACTTTGTGATGATTGCATTCGACTCACAGAGTTGAACATTCCTATAGATAGAGCAGGTTGTAAACAATCTTTTTGTAGAATCTGCGATTGGAGATTTGGACTGCTTTGAGGCCTACTGTAGTAAAGGAAATAACTTCATCTAAAAACCAAACGGAAGCATTCACAGACAATTCTTAGTGATCATTGGATTGAACTAACAGAGCTGAACATTCCTTTAGATGGAGCAGTTTCCAAACCCACTTTCTGTAGAATCTGCAAGTGGATATTTGGACTTCTCTGAGGATTTCGTTGGAAACGGGATAAACTTCCCAGAACTACACGGAAGCATTGTGAGAAACTTCTTTGTGATGTTTGCATTCAACTCACAGAGTTGAACCTTGCTTTCATAGTTCAGCTTTCAAACACTCTTTTTGTAGAATCTGCAAGTGGATATTTGGACCACTTTGTGGCCTTCCTTCGAAACGGGTATATCTTCACATCAAACCTAGACAGAAGCATTCTCAGAATGTTTCCTGTGATGACTGCATTCAACTCACAGAGGTGAACAATCCTGTTGATGGAGCAGTTTTGAAACTCTCTTTCTTTGGATTCTGCAAGTTGATATGTGGACCTCTGTGAAGATTTCGTTGGAAACGGGTTCATCTTCACAGAAAAACTAAACAGAAGCATTCTCAGAAACTGCTTTGTGATGTTTGTGTTCCACTTCAGGAATTGAACTTTCCTCTTGACAGAGCAGCTCTGAAACCCTCTTATTCTATAATCTGCATGTGGACATTTGGAGGGCTTTGAGGCCTGTGGTGGAAAAGGAAAATCTTCACGTAAAAACTAGATGGAAGCATTCTCAGAAACTGCTTTGTGATGATTGCATTCGACTCATAGAGTTGAACATTCCTATAGATAGAGCAGGTTGTAAACAATCTTTTTGTAGAATCTGCGATTGGAGATTTGGACTGCTTTGAGGCCTACTGTAGTAAAGGAAATAACTTCATCTAAAAACCAAACGGAAGCATTCACAGAACAATTCTTAGTGATCATTGCATTGAACTAACAGAGCTGAACATTGCTTTAGATGGCGCAGTTTCCAAACCCACTTTCTGTAGAATCTGCAAGTGGATATTTGGACCTCTCTGAGGATTTCGTTGGAAACGGGATAAACTTCCCAGAACTACACGGAAGTATTCTGAGAAACTTCTTTGTGATGTTTGCATTCAACTCACAGAGTTGAACCTTGCTTTCATAGTTCAGCTTTCAAACACTCTTTTTGTAGAATCTGCAAGTGGATATTTGGATCACTTTGTGGCCTTCCTTCGAAACGGGTATATCTTCACATCAAACCTAGACAGAAGAATTCGCAGAATGTTTCCTGTGATGACTGCATTCAACTCACAGAGGTGAACATTCCTGCTGATAGGAGCAGTTTTGAAACTCTCTTTCTTTGGATTCTGCAAGTGGATATGTGGACCTCTGTGAAGATTTCGTTGGAAACGGGTTCATCTTCACAGAAAAACTAAACAGGAGCATTCTCAGAAACTGCTTTGTGATGTTTGTGTTCCACTTCAGGAATTGAACTTTCCTCTTGACAGAGCAGCTCTGAAACCCTCTTATTCTAGAATCTGCAAGTGGACATTTGGAGGGATTTGAGGCCTGTGGTGGAAAGGGAAAATCTTCACATAAGAACTAGATGGAAGCATTCCTCAGAAACTACTTTGTGATGATTGCATTCGACTCACAGAGTTGAACATTCCTATAGATAGAGCAGGTTGTAAACAATCTTTTTGTAGAATCTGCGATTGGAGATTTGGACTGCTTTGAGGCCTACTGTAGTAAAGGAAATAACATCATCTAAAAACCAAACGGAAGCATTCACAGACAATTCTTAGTGATCATTGGATTGAACTAACAGAGCTGAACATTCCTTTAGATGGAGCAGTTTCCAAACACACTTTCTGCAGAATCTGCAAGTGGATATTTGGACCTCTCTGAGGATTTCGTTGGAAACGGGATAAACTTCCCAGAACTACACGGAAGCATTCTGAGAAACTTCTTTGTGATGTTTGCATTCAACTCACAGCAATTGAACCTTGCTTTCATAGTTCAGCTTTCAAACACTCTTTTTGTAGAATCTGCAAGTGGATATTTGGACCACTTTGTGGCCTTCCTTCGAAACGGGTATATCTTCACATCAAACCTAGACAGAAGCATTCTCAGAATGTTTCCTGTGATGACTGCATTCAACTCACAGAGGTGAACAATCCTGCTGATGGAGCAGTTTTGAAACTCTCTTTCTTTGGATTCTGCAAGTGGATATGTGGACCTCTGTGAAGATTTCGTTGGAAACGGGTTCATCTTCACAGAAAAACTAAACAGGAGCATTCTCAGAAACTACTTTGTGATGTTTGTGTTCCACTTCAAGAATTGAACTTTCCTCTTGACAGAGCACCTCTGAAACCCTCTTTTTCTAGAATCTGCAAGTGGACATTTGGAGGGCTTTGAGGCCTGTGGTGGAAAAGGAAAATCTTCACATAAAAACTAGATGGAAGCATTCCCAGAAACTACTTTGTGATGATTGCATTCGACTCACAGAGTTGAACATTCCCATAGATAGAGCAGGTTGTAAACAATCTTTTTGTAGAATCTGCGATTGGAGATTTGGACTGCTTTGAGGCCTACTGTAGTAAAGGAAATAACTTCATCTAAAAACCAAACGGAAGCATTCACAGATAATTCTTAGTGATCATTGCATTGAACTAACAGAGCTGAACATTCCTTTACATGGAGCAGTTTCCAAACACACTTTCTGTAGAATCTGAAAGTGGATATTTGGACCTCTATGAGGATATCGTTGGAAACGGGATAAACTTCCCAGAACTACACGGAAGCATTCTGAGAAACTTCTTTGTGATGTTTGCATTCAACTCACAGAGTTGAACCTTGCTTTCATAGTTCAGCTTTCAAACACTCTTTTTGTAGAATCTGCAAGTGGATATTTGAACCACTTTGTGGCCTTCCTTCGAAACGGGTATATCTTCACATCAAACCTAGACAGAAGCATTCTCAGAATGTTTCCTGTGATGACTGCATTCAACTCACAGAGGTGAACAATCCTGCTGATGGAGCAGTTTTGAAACTCTCTTTCTTTGGATTCTGCAAGTGGATATGTGGACCTCTGTGAAGATTTCGTTGGAAACGGGTTCATCTTCACAGAAAAACTAAACAGGAGCATTCTCAGAAACTACTTTGTGATGTTTGTGTTCCACTTCAAGAATTGAACTTTCCTCTTGACAGAGCAGCTCTGAAACCCTCTTTTTCTAGAATCTGCAAGTGGACATTTGGAGGGATTTGAGGCCTGTGGTGGAAAAGGAAAATCTTCACATAAAAACTAGATGGAAGCATTCTCAGAAACTACTTTGTGATGATTGCATTCGACTCACAGAGTTGAACATTCCTATAGATAGAGCAGGTTGTAAACAATCTTTTTGTAGAATCTGCGATTGGAGATTTGGACTGCTTTGAGGCCTACTGTAGTAAAGGAAATAACTTCATCTGAAAACCAAACGGAAGCATTCACAGACAATTCTCAGTGATCATTGGATTGTACTAACAGAGCTGAACATTCCTTTAGATGGCGCAGTTTCCAAACACACTTTCTGTAGAATCTGCAAGTGGATATTTGGACCTCTCTGAGGATTTCGTTGGAAACGGGCTAAACTTCCCAGAACTACACGGAAGCATTGTGAGAAACTTCTTTGTGATGTTTGCATTCAACTCACAGAGTTGAACCTTGCTTTCATAGTTCAGCTTTCAAACACTCTTTTTGTAGAATCTGCAAGTGGATATTTGGACCACTTTGTGGCCTTCCTTCGAAACGGGTATATCTTCACATCAAACCTAGACAGAAGCATTCTCAGAATGTTTCCTGTGATGACTGCATTCAACTCACAGAGGTGAACAATCCTGCTGATGGAGCAGTTTTGAAACTCTCTTTCTTTGGATTCTGCAAGTGGATATGTGGACCTCTGTGAAGATTTCGTTGGAAACGGGTTCATCTTCACAGAAAAACTAAACAGAAGCATTCTCAGAAACTACTTTGTGATGTTTGTGTTCCACTTCAAGAATTGAACTTTCCTCTTGACAGAGCAGCTCTGAAACCCTCTTTTTCTAGAATCTGCAAGTGGACATTTGGAGGGCTTTGAGGCCTGTGGTGGAAAAGGAAAATCTTCACATAAAAACTAGATGGAAGCATTCTCAGAAACTACTTTGTGATGATTGCATTCGACTCACAGAGTTGAACATTCCTATAGATAGAGCAGGTTGTAAACAATCTTTTTGTAGAATCTGCGATTGGAGATTTGGACTGCTTTGAGGCCTACTGTAGTAAAGGAAATAACTTCATCTAAAAACGAAACGGAAGCATTCACAGACAATTCTTAGTGATCATTGGATTGAACTAACAGAGCTGAACATTCCTTTAGATGGCGCAGTTTCCAAACACACTTTCTGTAGAATCTGCAAGTGGATATTTGGACCTCTCTGAGGATTTCGTTGGAAACGAGATAAACTTCCCAGAACTACACGGAAGCATTCTGAGAAACTTCTTTGTGATGTTTGCATTCAACTCACAGAGTTGAACCTTGCTTTCATAGTTCAGCTTTCAAACACTCTTTTTGTAGAATCTGCAAGTGGATATTTGGACCACTTTCTGGCCTTCCTTCGAAACGGGTATATCTTCACATCAAACCTAGACAGAAGCATTCTCAGAATGTTTCCTGTGATGACTGCATTCAACTCACAGAGGTGAACAATCCTGTTGATGGGGCACTTTTGAAACTCTCTTTCTTTGGATTCTGCAAGTTGATATGTGGACCTCTGTGAAGATTTCGTTGGAAACGTGTTCATCTTCACAGAAAAACTAAACAGAAGCATTCTCAGAAACTACTTTGTGATGTTTGTGTTCCACTTCAAGAATTGAACTTTCCTCTTGACAGAGCAGCTCTGAAATCCTCTTATTCTAGAATCTGCAAGTGGACATTTGGAGGGCTTTGAGGCCTGTGGTGGAAAAGGAAAATCTTCACATAAAAACTAGATGGAAGCATTCTCAGAAACTACTTTGTGATGATTGCATTCGACTCACAGAGTTGAACATTCCTATAGATAGAGCAGGTTGTAAACAATCTTTTTGTAGAATCTGCGATTGGAGATTTGGACTGCTTTGAGGCCTACTGTAGTAAAGGAAATAACTTCATCTAAAAACCAAACGGAAGCATTCACAGACAATTCTTAGTGATCATTCCATTGAACTAACAGAGCTGAACATTCGTTTAGATGGCGCAGTTTCCAAACAGACTTTCTGTAGAATCTGCAGGTGGATATTTGGACCTCTCTGAGGATTTCGTTGGAAACGGGATAAACTTCCCAGAACTACACGGAAGCATTGTGAGAAACTTCTTTGTGATGTTTGCATTCAACTCACAGAGTTGAACCTTGCTTTCATAGTTCAGCTTTCAAACACTCCTTTTGTAGAATCTGCAAGTGGATATTTGGACCACTTTGTGGCCTTCCTTGGAAACGGGTATATCTTCACATCAAACCTAGACAGAAGCATTCTCAGAATGTTTCCTGTGATGACTGCATTCAACTCACAGAGGTGAACAATCCTGCTGATGGAGCAGTTTTGAAACTCTCTTTCTTTGGATTCTGCAAGTGGATATGTGGACCCCTGTGAAGATTTCGTTGGAAACGGGTTCATCTTCACAGAAAAACTAAACAGGAGCATTCTCAGAAACTGCTTTGTGATGTTTGTGTTCCACTTCAGGAATTGAACTTTCCTCTTGACAGAGCAGCTCTGAAACCCTCTTATTCTAGAATCTGCAAGTGGACATTTGGAGGGCTTTGAGGCCTGTGGTGGAAAAGGAAAATCTTCACATAAAAACTACATGGAAGCATTCTCAGAAACTACTTTGTGATGATTGCATTCGACTCACAGAGTTGAACATTCCTATAGATAGAGCAGGTTGTAAACAATCTTTTTGTAGAATCTGCGATTGGAGATTTGGACTGCTTTGAGGCCTACTGTAGTAAAGGAAATAACTTCATCTAAAAACCAAACGGAAGCATTCACAGACAATTCTTAGTGATCATTGCATTGAACTAACAGAGCTGAACATTCCTTTAGATGGCGCAGTTTCCAAACACACTTTCTGTAGAATCTGCAAGTGGATATTTGGACTTCTCTGAGGATTTCGTTGGAAACGGGATAAACTTCCCAGAACTACACGGAAGCATTGTGAGAAACTTCTTTGTGATGTTTGCATTCAACTCACAGAGTTGAACCTTGCTTTCATAGTTCAGCTTTCAAACACTCTTTTTGTAGAATCTGCAAGTGGATATTTGGACCACTTTGTGGCCTTCCTTCGAAACGGGTATATCTTCACATCAAACCTAGACAGAAGCATTCTCAGAATGTTTCCTGTGATGACTGCATTCAACTCACAGAGGTGAACAATCCTGCTGATGGAGCAGTTTTGAAACTCTCTTTCTTTGGATTCTGCAAGTGGATATGTGGACCTCTGTGAAGATTTCGTTGGAAACGGGTTCATCTTCACAGAAAAACTAAACAGAAGCATTCTCAGAAACTGCTTTGTGAAGTTTGTGTTCCACTTCAGGAATTGAACTTTCCTCTCGACAGAGCAGCTCTGAAACCCTCTTTTTCTAGAATCTGCAAGTGGACATTTGGAGGGCTTTGAGGCCTGTGGTGGAAAAGGAAAATCTTCACATAAAAACTAGATGGAAGCATTCTCAGAAACTACTTTGTGATGATTGCATTCGACTCACAGAGTTGAACATTCCTATAGATAGAGCAGGTTGTAAACAATCTTTTTGTAGAATCTGCGATTGGAGATTTGGACTGCTTTGAGGCCTACTGTAGTAAAGGAAATAACTTCATCTAAAAACCAAACGGAAGCATTCACAGACAATTCTTAGTGATCATTGGATTGAACTAACAGCGCTGAACATTACTTTAGATGGCGCAGTTTCCAAACCCACTTTCTGTAGAATCTGCAAGTGGATATTTGGACTTCTCTGAGGATTTCGTTGGAAACGGGATAAACTTCCCAGAACTACAGGGAAGCATTCTGAGAAACTTCTTTGTGATGTTTGCATTCAACTCACAGAGTTGAACCTTGCTTTCATAGTTCAGCTTTCAAACACTCTTTTTGTAGAAACTGCAAGTGGATATTTGGACCACTTTGTGGCCTTCCTTCGAAACGGGTATATCTTCACATCAAACCTAGACAGAAGCATTCTCAGAATGTTTCCTGTGATGACTGCATTCAACTCACAGAGGTGAACAATCCTGCTGATGGAGCAGTTTTGAAACTCTCTTTCTTTGGATTCTGCAAGTGGATATGTGGACCTCTGTGAAGATTTCGTTGGAAACGGGTTCATCTTCACAGAAAAACTAAACAGAAGCATTCTCAGAAACTGCTTTGTGATGTTTGTGTTCCACTTCAGGAATTGAACTTTCCTCTTGACAGAGCAGCTCTGAAACCCTCTTTTTCTAGAATCTGCAAGTGGACATTTGGAGGGCTTTGAGGCCTGTGGTGGAAAAGGAAAATCTTCACATAAAAACTAGATGGAAGCATTCTCAGAAACTACTTTGTGATGATTGCATTCGACTCACAGAGTTGAACATTCCTATAGATAGAGCAGGTTGTAAACAATCTTTTTGTACAGTCTGCGATTGGAGATTTGGACTGCTGTGAGGCCTACTGTAGTAAAGGAAATAACTTCATCTAAAAACCAAACGGAAGCATTCACAGACAATTCTTAGTGATCATTGGATTGAACTAACAGAGCTGAACATTCCTTTAGATGGAGCAGTTGCCAAACCCACTTTCTGTAGAATCTGCAAGTGGATATTTGGACTTCTCTGAGGATTTCGTTGGAAACGGGATAAACTTCCCAGAACTACACGGAAGCATTCTGAGAAACTTCTTTGTGATGTTTGCATTCAACTCACAGAGTTGAACCTTGCTTTCATAGTTCAGCTTTCAAACACTCTTTTTGTAGAATCTGCAAGTGGATATTTGGACCACTTTGTGGCCTTCCTTCGAAACGGGTATATCTTCACATCAAACCTAGACAGAAGCATTCTCAGAATGTTTCCTGTGATGACTGCATTCAACTCACAGAGGTGAACAATCCTGTTGATGGAGCACTTTTGAAACTCTCTTTCTTTGGATTCTGCAAGTTGATATGTGGACCTCTGAGAACATTTCGTTGGAAACGGGTTCATCTTCACAGAAAAACTAAACAGAAGCATTCTCAGAAACTGCTTTGTGATGTTTGTGTTCCACTTCAAGAATTGAACTTTCCTCTTGACAGAGCAGCTCTGAAACCCTCTTTTTCTAGAATCTGCAAGTGGACATTTGGAGGGCTTTGAGGCCTGTGGTGGAAAAGGAAAATCTTCCCATAAAAACTAGATGGAAGCATTCTCAGAAACTACTTTGTGATGATTGCATTCGACTCACAGAGTTGAACATTCCTATACATAGAGCAGGTTGTAAACAATCTTTTTGTAGAATCTGCGATTGGAGATTTGGACTGCTTTGAGGCCTACTGTAGTAAAGGAAATAACTTCATCTAAAAACCAAACGGAAGCATTCACAGACAATTCTTAGTGATCATTGGATTGAACTAACAGAGCTGAACATTCCTTTAGATGGAGCAGTTTCCAAACACACTTTCTGTAGAATCTGCAAGTGGATATTTGGACCTCTCTGAGGATTTCGTTGGAAACGGGATAAACTTCCCAGAACTACACGGAAGCATTGTGAGAAACTTCTTTGTGATGTTTGCATTCAACTCACAGAGTTGAACCTTGCTTTCATAGTTCAGCTTTCAAACACTCTTTTTGTAGAATCTGCAAGTGGACATTTGGACCACTTTGTGGCCTTCCTTCGAAACGGGTATATCTTCACATCAAACCTAGACAGAAGCATTCTCAGAATGTTTCCTGTGATGACTGCATTCAACTCACAGAGGTGAACAATCCTGCTGATGGAGCAGTTTTGAAACTCTCTTTCTTTGGATTCTGCAAGTGGATATCTGGACCTCTGTGAAGATTTCGTTGGAAACGGGTTCATCTTCACAGAAAAACTAAACAGAAGCATTCTCAGAAACTGCTTTGTGATGTTTGTGATCCACTTCAAGAATTGAACTTTCCTCTTGACAGAGCAGCTCTGAAACCCTCTTTTTCTAGAATGTGCAAGTGGACATTTGGAGGGCTTTGAGGCCTGTGGTGGAAAAGGAAAATCTTCACATAAAAACTAGATGGAAGCATTCTCAGAAACTACTTTGTGATGATTGCATTCGACTCACAGAGTTGAACATTCCTATAGATAGAGCAGGTTGTAAACAATCTTTTTGTAGAATCTGCGATTGGAGATTTGGACTGCTTTGAGGCCTACTGTAGTAAAGGAAATAACTTCATCTAAAAACCAAACGGAAGCATTCACAGACAATTCTTAGTGATCATTGGATTGAACTAACAGAGCTGAACATTCCTTTAGATGGCGCAGTTTCCAAACACACTTTCTGTAGAATCTGCAAGTGGATATTTGGACCTCTCTGAGGATTTCGTTGGAAACGGGATAAACTTCCCAGAACTACAGGGAAAGCATTCTGAGAAACTTCTTTGTGATGTTTGCATTCAACTCACAGGATTTGCACCTTGCTTTCATAGTTCAGCTTTCAAACACTCTTTTTGTAGAATCTGCAAGTGGATATTTGGACCACTTTGTGGCCTTCCTTCGAAAAGGGTATATCTTCACATCAAACCTAGACAGAAGCATTCTCAGAATGTTTCCTGTGATGACTGCATTCAACTCACAGAGGTGAACAATCCTGTTGATGGAACAGTTTTGTAACTCTCTTTCTTTGGATTCTGCAAGTTGATATGTGGACCTCTGTGAAGATTTCGTTGGAAACTGGTTCATCTTCACAGAAAAACTAAACAGAAGCATTCTCAGAAACTGCTTTGTGATGTTTGTGTTCCACTTCAAGAATTGAACTTTCCTCTTGACAGAGCAGCTCTGAAACCCTCTTTTTCTAGAATCTGCAAGTGGACATTTGGAGGGCTTTGAGGCCTGTGGTGGAAAAGTAAAATCTTCACATAAAAACTAGATGGAAGCATTCTCAGAAACTACTTTGTGATGATTGCATTCGACTCACAGAGTTGAACATTCCTATACATAGAGCAGGTTGTAAACAATCTTTTTGTAGAATCTGCGATTGGAGATTTGGACTGCTTTGAGGCCTACTGTAGTAAAGGAAATAACTTCATCTAAAAACCAAACGGAAGCATTCACAGACAATTCTTTGTGATGGTTGGTTTGAACTCAGAGAGCTGAACATTCCTTTAGATGGCGCAGTTTCCAAACACACTTTCTGTAGAATCTGCAAGTGGATATTTGGACCTCTCTGAAGATTTCGTTGGAAACGGGATAAACTTCCCAGAACTACACGGAATGCATTCTCAAAAACTTCGTTGTGATGTTTGCATTCAACTCACAGAGTTGAACCTTGCTTTCATAGTTCAGCTTTCAAACACTCTTTTTGTAGAATCTGCTGAGTGGATATTTGGACCACTTTGAGGCCTTCCTTCGAAACGGGTATATCTTCACATCAAACCTAGACAGAAGCATTCTCAGAATGTTTCCTGTGATGACTGCATTCAACTCACAGAGGTGAACAATCCTGTTGATGGAGCACTTTTCAAACTCTCTTTCTTTGGATTCCGCAAGTTGATATGTGGACCTCTGTGAAGATTTCATTGGAAACGGGTTCATCTTCACAGAAAAACTAAACAGAAGCATTCTCAGAAACTACTTTGTGATGTTTGTGTTCCACTTCAAGAATTGAACTTTCCTGTTGACAGAGCAGCTCTGAAACCCTCTTTTTCTAGAATCTGCAAGTGGACATTTGGAGGGCTTTGAGGCCTGTGGTGGAAAAGGAAAATCTTCACATAAAAACTAGATGGAAGCATTCTCAGAAACTACTTTGTGATGATTGCATTCGACTCACAGAGTTGAACATTCCTATAGATAGAGCAGGTTGTAAACAATCTTTTTGTAGAATCTGCGATTGGAGATTTGGACTGCTTTGAGGCCTACTGTAGTAAAGGAAATAACTTCATCTAAAAACCAAACGGAAGCATTCACAGACAATTCTTAGTGATCATTGGATTGAACTAACAGAGCTGAACATTCCTTTAGATGGAGCAGTTGCCAAACCCACTTTCTGTAGAATCTGCAAGTGGATATTTGGACTTCTACTGAGGATTTCGTTGGAAACGGGATAAACTTCCCAGAACTACACGGAAGCATTCTGAGAAACTTCTTTGTGATGTTTGCATTCAACTCACAGAGTTGAACCTTGCTTTCATAGTTCAGCTTTCAAACACTCTTTTTGTAGAATCTGCAAGTGGATATTTGGACCACTTTCTGGCCTTCCTTCGAAACGGGTATATCTTCACATCAAACCTAGACAGAAGCATTCTGAGAATGTTTCCTGTGATGACTGCATTCAACTCACAGAGGTGAACAATCCTGCTGATGGAGCAGTTTTGAAACTCTCTTTCTTTGGATTCTGCAAGTGGATATGTGGACCTCTGTGAAGATTTCGTTGGAAACGGGTTCATCTTCACAGAAAAACTAAACAGAAGCATTCTCAGAAACTGCTTTGTGATGTTTGTGTTCCACTTCAAGAATTGAACTTTCCTCTTGACAGAGCAGCTCTGAAACCCTCTTTTTCTAGAATCTGCAAGTGGACATTTGGAGGGCTTTGAGGCCTGTGGTGGAAAAGGAAAATCTTCACATAAAAACTAGATGGAAGCATTCTCAGAAACTACTTTCTGATGATTGCATTCGACTCACAGAGTTGAACATTCCTATAGATAGAGCAGGTTGTAAACAATCTTTTTGTAGAATCTGCGATTGGAGATTTGGACTGCTTTGAGGCCTACTGTAGTAAAGGAAATTACTTCATCTAAAAACCAAACGGAAGCATTCACAGACAATTCTTAGTGATCATTGGATTGAACTAACAGAGCTGAACATTCCTTTAGATGGAGCAGTTTCCAAACACACTTTCTGTAGAATCTGCAAGTGGATATTTGGACTTCTCTGAGGATTTCGTTGGAAACGGGATAAACTTCCCAGAACTACAGGGAAGCATTGTGAGAAACTTCTTTGTGATGTTTGCATTCAACTCACAGAGTTGAACCTTGCTTTCATAGTTCAGCTTTCAAACACTCTTTTTGTAGAATCTGCAAGTGGATATTTGGACCACTTTGTGGCCTTCCTTCGAAACGGGTATATCTTCACATCAAACCTAGACAGAAGCATTCTCAGAATGTTTCCTGTGATGACTGCATTCAACTCACAGAGGTGAACAATCCTGCTGATGGAGCTGTTTTGAAACTCTCTTTCTTTGGATTCTGCAAGTGGATATGTGGACCTCTGTGAAGATTTCGTTGGAAACGGGTTCATCTTCACAGAAAAAGTAAACAGGAGCTTTCTCAGAAACTGCTTTGTGATGTTTGTGTTCCACTTCAAGAATTGAACTTTCCTCTTGACAGAGCAGCTCTGAAACCCTCTTTTTCTAGAATCTGCAAGTGGACATTTGGAGGGCTTTGAGGACTGTGGTGGAAAAGGAAAATCTTCACATAAAAACTAGATGGAAGCATTCTCAGAAACTACTTTGTGATGATTGCATTCGACTCACAGAGTTGAACATTCCTATAGATAGAGCAGGTTGTAAACAGTCTTCTTGTAGAATCTGCGATTGGAGATTTGGACTGCTTTGAGGCCTACTGTAGTAAAGGAAATAACTTCATCTAAAAACCAAACGGAAGCATTCACAGACAATTCTTAGTGATCATTGCATTGAACTAACAGACCTGAACATTCCTGTAGATGGCGCAGTTTCCAAACACACTTTCTGTAGAATCTGCAAGTGGATATTTGGACCTCTCTGAGGATTTCGTTGGAAACGGGATAAACTTCCCAGTACTACACGGAAGCATTGTGAGAAACTTCTTTGGATGTTTGCATTCAACTCACAGAGTTGAACCTTGCTTTCATAGTTCAGCTTTCAAACACTCTTTTTGTAGAATCTGCAAGTGGATA
This sequence comes from Homo sapiens, assembly GCF_000001405.40. Classification (NCBI taxonomy): domain Eukaryota; kingdom Metazoa; phylum Chordata; class Mammalia; order Primates; family Hominidae; genus Homo; species Homo sapiens. The sequence goes on from NC_000011.10 coordinate 53,604,860, forward strand.
TTGGGACCACTTTGTGGCCTTCCTTCGAAACGGGTATATCTTCACATCAAACCTAGACAGAAGCATTCTCAGAATGTTTCCTGTGATGACTGCATTCAACTCACAGTAGGTGAACAATCCTGCTGATGGAGCAGTTTTGAAACTCTCTTTCTTTGGATTCTGCAAGTGGATATGTGGACCTCTGTGAAGATTTCGTTGGAAACGGTTTCATCTTCACAGAAAAACTAAACAGGGGAAGCATTCTCGGAAACTGCTTTGTGATGTTTGTGTTCCACTTCAGGAATTGAACTTTCCTCTTGACAGAGCAGCTCTGAAACCCTCTTATTCTAGAATCTGCAAGTGGACATTTGGAGGGCTTTGAGGCCTGTGGTGGAAAAGGAAAATCTTCACATAAAAACTAGATGGAAGCATTCTCAGAAACTACTTTGTGATGATTGCATTCGACTCACAGAGTTGAACATTCCTATAGATAGAGCAGGTTGTAAACAATCTTTTTGTACAATCTGCGATTGGAGATTTGGAATGCTTTGAGGCCTACTGTAGTAAAGGAAATAACTTCATCTAAAAACCAAACGGAAGCATTCACAGACAATTCTTAGTGATCATTGGATTGAACTAACAGAGCTGAACATTCCTTTAGATGGAGCAGTTTCCAAACACACTTTCTGTAGAATCTGCAAGTGGATATTTGGACCTCTCTGAGGATTTCGTTGGAAAAGGGATAAACTTCCCAGAACTACACGGAAGCATTGTGAGAAACTTCTTTGTGATGTTTGCATTCAACTCACAGAGTTGAACCTTGCTTTCATAGTTCAGCTTTCAAACACTCTTTTTGTAGAATCTGCAAGTGGATATTTGGACCATTTTGTGGCCTTCCTTCGAAACGGGTATATCTTCACATCAAACCTAGACAGAAGCATTCTCAGAATGTTTCCTGTGATGACTGCATTCAACTCACAGAGGTGAACAATCCTGCTGATGGAGCAGTTTTGAAACTCTCTTTCTTTGGATTCTGCAAGTGGATATGTGGACCTCTGTGAAGATTTCGTTGGAAACGGGTTCATCTTCACAGAAAAACTAAACAGAAGCATTCTCAGAAACTGCTTTGTGATGTTTGTGTTCCACTTCAAGAATTGAACTTTCCTCTTGACAGAGCAGCTCTGAAACCCTCTTTTTCTAGAATCTGCAAGTGGACATTTGGAGGGCTTTGAGGCCTGTGGTGGAAAAGGAAAATCTTCACATAAAAACTAGATGGAAGCATTCTCAGAAACTACTTTGTGATGATGGCTTTCGACTCACAGAGTTGAACATTCCTATAGATAGAGCAGGTTGTAAACAATCTTTTTGTAGAATCTGCGATTGGAGATTTGGACTGCTTTGAGGCCTACTGTAGTAAAGGAAATAACTTCATCTAAAAACCAAACGGAAGCATTCACAGACAATTCTTAGTGATCATTGGATTGAACTAACAGAGCTGAACATTCCTTTAGATGGAGCAGTTTCCAAACCCACTTTCTGTAGAATCTGCAAGTGGATATTTGGACTTCTCTGAGGATTTCGTTGGAAACGGGATAAACTTCCCAGAACTACACGGAAGCATTGTGAGAAACTTCTTTGTGATGTTTGCATTCAACTCACAGAGTTGAACCTTGCTTTCATAGTTCAGCTTTCAAACACTCCTTTTGTAGAATCTGCAAGTGGATATTTGGACCACTTTGTGGCCTTCCTTCGAAACGGGTATATCTTCACATCAAACCTAGACAGAAGCATTCTCAGAATGTTTCCTGTGATGACTGCATTCAACTCACAGAGGTGAACAATCCTGCTGATGGAGCAGTTTTGAAACTCTCTTTCTTTGGATTCTGCAAGTGGATATGTGGACCTCTGTGAAGATTTCGTTGGAAACGGGTTCATCTTCACAGAAAAACTAAACGGGAGCATTCTCAGAAACTGCTTTGTGATGTTTGTGTTCCACTTCAAGAATTGAACTTTCCTCTTGACAGAGCAGCTCTGAAACCCTCTTTTTCTAGAATCTGCAAGTGGACATTTGGAGGGCTTTGAGGCCTGTGGTGGAAAAGGAAAATCTTCCCATAAAAACTAGATGGAAGCATTCTCAGAAACTACTTTGTGATGATTGCATTCGACTCACAGAGTTGAACATTCCTATAGATAGAGCAGGTTGTAAACAATCTTTTTGTAGAATCTGCGATTGGAGATTTGGACTGCTTTGAGGCCTACTGTAGTAAAGGAAATAACTTCATCTAAAAACCAAACGGAAGCATTCACAGACAATTCTTAGTGATCATTGCATTGAACTAACAGAGCTGAACATTCCTTTAGATGGAGCATTTTCCAAACACACTTTCTGTAGAATCTGCAAGTGGATATTTGGACATCTCTGAGGATTTCGTTGGAAACGGGATAAACTTCCCAGAACTACACGGAAGCATTCTCAGAAATATCTTTCTCACTTTTGCATTCAACTCACAGAGTTGAACCTTCCTTTCATAGTTCAGCTTTCAAACACTCTATTTGTAGAATCTGCAAGTGGATATTTGGACCACTTTGTGGCCTTCCTTCGAAACGGGTATATCTTCACATCAAACCTAGACAGAAGCATTCTCAGAATGTTTCCTGTGATAACTGCATTCAACTCACAGAGGTGAACAATCCTGTTGATGGAGCAGTTTTGAAACTCCCTTTCTTTGGATTCTGCAAGTGGATATGTGGAACTCTGTGAAGATTTCGTTGGAAACGGGTTCATCTTCACAGAAAAAATAACAGGAGCATTCTCAGAAACTGCTTTCTGATGTTTGTGTTCCACTTCAAGAATTGAACTTTCCTCTTGACCGAGCAGCTCTCAAACCCTCTTTTTCTAGAATCTGCAAGTGGACATTTGGAGGGCTTTGAGGCCTGTGGTGGAAAAGGAAAATCTTCACATAAAAACTAGATGGAAGCATTCTCAGAAACTACTTTGTGATGATTGCATTCGACTCACAGAGTTGAACATTCCTATAGATAGAGCAGGTTGTAAACAATCTTTTGTAGAATCTGCGATTGGAGATTTGGACTGCTTTGAGGCCTACTGTAGTAAAGGAAATAACTTCATCTAAAAACCAAACGGAGGTATTCAAAGACAATTCTTAGTGATCATTGGATTGAACTAACAGAGCTGAACATTAGTTTAGATGGCGCAGTTTCCAAACACAATTTCTGTAGAATCTGCAAGTGGATATTTGGACTTCTCTGAGGATTTCGTTGGAAACGGGATAAACTTCCCAGAACTACACGGAAGCATTCTGAGAAACTTCTTTGTGATGTTTGCATTCAACTCACAGAGTTGAACCTCGCTTTCATAGTTCAGCTTTCAAACACTCTTTTTGTAGAATCTGCAAGTGGATATTTGGACCACTTTGTGGCCTTCCTTCGAAACGGGTATATCTTCACATCAAACCTAGACAGAAGCATTCTCAGAATGTTTCCTGTGATGACTGCATTCAACTCACAGAGGTGAACAATCCTGCTGATGGAGCAGTTTTGAAACTCTCTTTCTTTGGATTCTGCAAGTGGATATGTGGACCTCTGTGAAGATTTCGTTGGAAACGGGTTCATCTTCACAGAAAAACTAAACAGAAGCATTCTCAGAAACTGCTTTGTGATGTTTGTGTTCCACTTCAGGAATTGAACTTTCCTCTTGATAGAGCAGCTCTGAAACCCTCTTTTTCTAGAATCTGCAAGTGGACATTTGGAGGGTTTTGGGTCCTGTGGTGGAAAAGGAAATCTTCACATAAAAACTAGATGGAAGCATTCTCAGAAACTACTTTGTGATGATTGCATTCGACTCACAGAGTTGAACATTCCTATAGATAGAGCAGGTTGTAAACAATCTTTTTGTAGAATCTGCGATTGGAGATTTGGACTGCTTTGAGGCCTACTGTAGTAAAGGAAATAACTTCATCTAAAAACCAAACGGAAGCATTCACAGACAATTCTTAGTGATCACTGGATTGAACTAACAGAGCTGAACATTCCTTCAGATGGAGCAGTTTCCAAACACACTTTCTGTAGAATCTGCAAGTGGATATTTGGACCTCTCTGAGGATTTCGTTGGAAACGGGATAAACTTCCCAGAACTACACGGAAGCATTCTGAGAAACTTCTTTGTGATGTTTGCATTCAACTCACAGAGTTGAACCTTGCTTTCATAGTTCAGCTTTCAAACACTCTTTTTGTAGAATCTGCAAGTGGATATTTGGACCACTTTGTGGCCTTCCTTCGAAACGGGTATATCTTCACATCAAACCTAGACAGAAGAATTCTCAGAATGTTTCCTGTGATGACTGCATTCAACTCACAGAGGTGAAAAATCCTGTTGATGGAGCAGTTTTGAAACTCTCTTTCTTTGGATTCTGCAAGTGGATATGTGCACCTCTGTGAAGATTTCGTTGGAAACTGGTTCATCTTCACAGAAAAACTAAACAGCAGCATTCTCAGAAACTGCTTTGTGATGTTTGTGTTCCACTTCAAGAATTGAACTTTCCTCTTGACAGAGCAGCTCTGAAACCCTCTTTTTCTAGAATCTGCAAGTGGACATTTGGAGGGCTTTGAGGCCTGTGGTGGAAAAGGAAAATCTTCACATAAAAACTAGATGGAAGCATTCTCAGAAACTACTTTGTGATGATTGCATTCGACTCACAGAGTTGAACATTCCTATAGATAGAGCAGGTTGAAAACAATCTTTTTGTAGAATCTGCGATTGGAGATTTGGACTGCTTTGAGGCCTACTGTAGTAAGGGAAATAACTTCATCTAAAAACCAAACGGAAGCATTCACAGAAAATTCTTAGTGATCATTGGATTGAACTAACAGAGCTGAACATTTGTTTAGATGGAGCAGATTCCAAACACACTTTCTGTAGAATCTGCAACTGGATATTTGGATCTCTCTGAGGATTTCGTTGGAAACGGGATAAACTTCCCAGAACTACACAGAAGCATTGTGAGAAACTTCTTTGTGATGTTTGCATTCAACTCACAGAGTTGAACCTTGCTTTCATAGTTCAGCTTTCAAACACTCTTTTTGTAGAATCTGCAAGTGGATATTTGGACCACTTTGTGGCCTTCCTTCGAAACGGGTATATCTTCACATCAAACCTAGACAGAAGCATTCTCAGAATGTTTCCTGTGATGACTGCATTCAACTCACAGAGGTGAACAATCCTGTTGATGGAGCAGTTTTGAAACTCTCTTTCTTTGGATTCTGCAAGTGGATATGTGGACCTCTGTGAAGACTTCGCTGGAAACGGGTTCATCTTCACAGAAAAACTAAACAGAAGCATTCTCAGAAACTGCTTTGTGATGTTTGTGTTCCACTTCAAGAATTGAACTTTCCTCTTGACAGAGCAGCTCTGAAACCCTCTTTTTCTAGAATCTGCAAGTGGACATTTGGAGGGCTTTGAGGCCTGTGGTGGAAAAGGAAAATCTTCACATAAAAACTAGATGGAAAGCATTCTCAGGAAACTACTTTGTGATGATTGCATTCGACTCACAGAGTTGAACATTCCTATAGATAGAGCAGGTTGTAAACAATCTTTTTGTAGAATCTGCGATTGGAGATTTGGACTGCTTTGAGGCCTACTGTAGTAAAGGAAATAACTTCATCTAAAAACCAAACGGAAGCATTCACAGACAATTCTTAGTGATCATTGCATTGAACTAACAGAGCTGAACATTCCTTTAGATGGAGCAGTTTCCAAACACACTTTCTGTAGAATCCGCAAGTGGATATTTGGACCTCTCTGAGGATTTCGTTGGAAACGGGATAAACTTCCCAGAACTACACGGAAGCATTCTGAGAAACTTCTTTGTGATGTTTGCATTCAACTCACAGAGTTGAACCTTGCTTTCATAGTTCAGCTTTCAAACACTCTTTTTGTAGAATCTGCAAGTGGATATTTGGACCACTTTGTGGCCTTCCTTCAAAACGGGTATATCTTCACATCAAACCTAGACAGAAGCATTCTCAGAATGTTTCCTGTGATGACTGCATTCAACTCACAGGGGTGAACAATCCTGCTGATGGAGCAGTTTTGAAACTCTCTTTCTTTGGATTCTGCAAGTGGATATGTGGACCTCTGTGAAGATTTCGTTGGAAACGGGTTCATCTTCACAGAAAAACTAAACAGGAGCATTCTCAGAAACTGCTTTGTGATGTTTCTGTTCCACTTCAAGAATTGAACTTTCCTCTTGACAGAGCAGCTCTGAAACCCTCTTTTTCTAGAATCTGCAAGTGGACATTTGGAGGGCTTTGAGGCCTGTGGTGGAAAAGGAAAATCTTCCCATAAAAACTAGATGGAAGCATTCTCAGAAACTACTTTGTGATGATTGCATTCGACTCACAGAGTTGAACATTCCTATAGATAGAGCAGGTTGTAAACAATCTTTTTGTAGAATCTGCGATTGGAGATTTGGACTGCTTTGAGGCCTACTGTAGTAAAGGAAATAACTTCATCTAAAAACCAAACGGAAGCATTCACAGACAATTCTTAGTGATCATTGGATTGAAGTAACAGAGCTGAACATTCCTTTAGATGGAGCAGCTTCCAAACACACTTTCTGTAGAATCTGCAAGTGGATATTTGGACTTCTCTGAGGATTTCGTTGGAAACGGGATAAACTTCCCAGAACTACAGGGAAGCATTGTGAGAAACTTCTTTGTGATGTTTGCATTCAACTCACAGAGTTGAACGTTGCTTTCATAGTTCAGCTTTCAAACACTCTTTTTGTAGAATCTGCAAGTGGATATTTGGACCACTTTGTGGCCTTCCTTCGAAACGGGTATATCTTCACATCAAACCTAGACAGAAGCATTCTCAGAATGTTTCCTGTGATGACTGCATTCAACTCACAGAGGTGAACAATCCTGCTGATGGAGCAGTTTTGAAACTCTCTATCTTTGGATTCTGCAAGTGGATATGTGGACCTCTGTGAAGATTTCGTTGGAAACGGGTTCATCTTCACAGAAAAACTAAACAGGAGCATTCTCAGAAACTGCTTTGTGATGTTTGTGTTCCACTTCAGGAATTGTACTTTCCTCTTGACAGAGCAGCTCTGAAACCCTCTTATTCTAGAATCTGCAAGTGGACATTTGGAGGGCTTTGAGGCCTGTGGTGGAAAAGGAAAATCTTCACATAAAAACTAGATGGAAGCATTCTCAGAAACTTCTTTGTGATGATTGCATTCGACTCACAAGAGTTGAACATTCCTATAGATAGAGCAGGTTGTAAACAATCTTTTTGTAGAATCTGCGATTGGAGATTTGGACTGCTTTGAGGCCTACTGTAGTAAAGGAAATTACTTCATCTAAAAACCAAACGGAAGCATTCACAGACAATTCTTAGTGATCATTGGATTGAACTAACAGAGCTGAACATTCCTTTAGATGGAGCAGTTTCCAAACACACTTTCTGTAGAATCTGCAAGTGGATATTTGGACTTCTCTGAGGATTTCGTTGGAAACGGGATAAACTTCCCAGAACTACACGGAAGCATTCTGAGAAACTTCTTTGTGATGTTTGCATTCAACTCACAGAGTTGAACCTTGCTTTCATAGTTCAGCTTTCAAACACTCTTTTTGTAGAATCTGCAAGTGGATATTTGGACCACTTTGTGGCCTTCCTTCGAAACGGGTATATCTTCACATCAAACCTAGACAGAAGCATTCTCAGAATGTTTCCTGTGATGACTGCATTCAACTCACAGAAGGTGAACAATCCTGCTGATGGAGCAGTTTTGAAACTCTCTTTCTTTGGATTTTGCAAGTGGATATGTGGACCTCTGTGAAGATTTCGTTGGAAACGGGTTCATCTTCACAGAAAAACTAAACAGAAGCATTCTCAGAAACTGCTTTGTGATGTTTGTGTTCCACTTCAGGAATTGAACTTTCCTCTTGACAGAGCATCTCTGAAACCCTCTTTTTCTAGAATCTGCAAGTGGACATTTGGAGGGCTTTGAGGCCTGTGGTGGAAAAGGAAAATCTTCACATAAAAACTAGATGGAAGCATTCTCAGAAACTACTTTGTGATGACTGCATTCGACTCACAGAGTTGAACATTCCTATAGATAGAGCAGGTTGTAAACAATCTTTTTGTAGAATCTGCGATTGGAGATTTGGACTGCTTTGAGGCCTACTGTAGTAAAGGAAATAACTTCATCTAAAAACCAAACGGAAGCATTCACAGACAATTCTTAGTGATCATTGGATTGAACTAACAGAGCTGAACATTCCTTTAGATGGAGCAGTTTCCAAACACACTTTCTGTAGATTCTGCAAGTGGATATTTGGACCTCTCTGAGGATTTCGTTGGAAAAGGGATAAACTTCCCAGAACTACACGGAAGCATTCTGAGAAACTTCTTTGTGATGTTTGCATTAAACTCACAGAGTTGAACCTTGCTTTCATAGTTCAGCTTTCAAACACTCTTTTTGTAGAATCTGCAAGTGGATATTTGGACCACTTTGTGGCCTTCCTTCGAAACAGGTATATCTTCACATCAAACGTAGACAGAAGCATTCTCAGAATGTTTCCTGTGATGACTGCATTCAACTCACTGAGGTGAACAATCCTGCTGATGGAGCAGTTTTGAAACTCTCTTTCTTTGGATTCTGCAAGTGGATATGTGGACCTCTGTGAAGATTTCGTTGGAAACGGGTTCATCTTCACAGAAAAAGTAAACAGAAGCATTCTCAGAAACTGCTTTGTGATGTTTGTGTTCCACTTCAGGAATTGAACTTTCCTCTTGATAGAGCAGCTCTGAAACCCTCTTTTTCTAGAATCTGCAAGTGGACATTTGGAGGGCTTTGAGGCCTGTGGTGGAAAAGGAAAATCTTCACATCAAAACTAGATGGAAGCATTCTCAGAAACTACTTTGTGATGATTGCATTCGACTCACAGAGTTGAACATTCCTATAGATAGCGCAGGTTGTAAACAATCTTTTTGTAGAATCTGCGATTGGAGATTTGGACTGCTTTGAGGCCTACTGTAGTAAAGGAAATAACTTCATCTAAAAACCAAACGGAGGTATTCAAAGACAATTCTTAGTGATCATTGGATTGAACTAACAGAGCTGAACATTAGTTTAGATGGCGCAGTTTCCAAACACAATTTCTGTAGAATCTGCAAGTGGATATTTGGACTTCTCTGAGGATTTCGTTGGAAACGGGATAAACTTCCCAGAACTACACGGAAGCATTCTGAGAAACTTCTTTGTGATGTTTGCATTCAACTCACAGAGTTGAACCTTGCTTTCATAGTTCAGCTTTCAAACACTCTTTTTGTAGAATCTGCAAGTGGATATTTGGACCACTTTGTGGCCTTCCTTCGAAACGGGTATATCTTCACATCAAACCTAGACAGAAGCATTCTCAGAATGTTTCCTGTGATGACTGCATTCAACTCACAGAGGTGAACAATCCTGTTGATGGAGCAGTTTTGAAACTCTCTTTCTTTGGATTCTGCAAGTTGATATGTGGACCTCTGTGAAGATTTCGTTGGAAACGGGTTCATCTTCACAGAAAAACTAAACAGAAGCATTCTCAGAAACTGCTTTGTGATGTTTGTGTTCCTCTTCAAGAATTGAACTTTCCTCTTGACAGAGCAGCTCTGAAACCCTCTTTTTCTAGAATCTGCAAGTGGACATTTGGAGGGCTTTGAGGCCTGTGGTGGAAAAGGAAAATCTTCACATAAAAACTAGATGGAAGCATTCTCAGAAACTACTTTGTGATGATTGCATTCGACTCACAGAGTTGAACATTCCTATAGATAGAGCAGGTTGTAAACAATCTTTTTGTAGAATCTGCGATTGGAGATTTGGACTGCTTTGAGGCCTACTGTAGTAAAGGAAATAACTTCATCTAAAAACCAAACGGAAGCATTCACAGTAAAATTCTTTGTGATGATTGGATTGAACTAAGAGAGCTGAACATTCCTTTAGATGGCGCAGTTTCCAAACAGACTTTATGAAGAATCTGCAAGTGGATATTTGGACCTCTCTGAGGATTTCGTTGGAAATGTGATAAACTTCCCAGAACTACACGGAAGCATTCTGAGAAACTTCTTTGTGATGTTTGCATTCAACTCACAGAGTTGAACCTTGCTTTCATAGTTCAGCTTTCAAACACTCTTTTTGTAGAATCTGCAAGTGGATATTTGGACCACTTTGTGGCCTTCCTTCGAAACGGGTATATCTTCACATCAAACCTAGACAGAAGCATTTTCAGAATGTTTCCTGTGATGACTGCATTCAACTCACAGAGGTGAACAATCCTGCTGATGAAGCAGTTTTGAAACTCTCTTTCTTTGGATTCTGCAAGTGGATATGTGGACCTCTGTGAAGATTTCGTTGGAAACGGGTTCATCTTCACAGAAAAACTAAACAGGAGCATTCTCAGAAACTGCTTTGTGATGTTTGTGTTCCACTTCAGGAATTGAACTTTCCTCTTGACAGAGCAGCTCTGAAACCCTCTTTTTCTAGAATCTGCAAGTGGACATTTGGAGGGCTTTGAGGCATGTGGTGGAAAAGGAAAATCTTCACATAAAAACTAGTATGGAAGCATTCTCAGAAACTCCTTTGTGATGATTGCATTCGACTCACAGAGTTGAACATTCCTATAGATAGAGCAGGTTGTAAACAATCTTTTTGTAGAATCTGCGATTGGAGATTTGGACTGCTTTGAGGCCTACAGTAGTAAAGGAAATAACTTCATCTAAAAACCAAACGGAAGCATTCACAGACAATTCTTAGTGATCATTGGATTGAACCAACAGAGCTGAACATTCCTTTAGATGGCGCAGTTTCCAAACACACTTTCTGTAGAATCTGCAACTGGATATTTGGACCTCTCTGAGGATTTCGTTGGAAACAGGATAAACTTCCCAGAACTACACGGAAGCATTGTGAGAAACTTCTTTGTGATGTTTGCATTCAACTCACAGAGTTGAACCTTGCTTTCATAGTTCAGCTTTCAAACACTCTTTTTGTAGAATCTGCAAGTGGATATTTGGACCACTTTGTGGCCTTCCTTCGAAACGGGTATATCTTCACATCAAACCTAGACAGAAGCATTCTCAGAATGTTTCCTGTGATGACTGCATTCAACTCACAGAGGTGAACAATCCTGTTGATGGAGCACTTTTGAAACTCTCTTTCTTTGGATTCTGCAAGTTGATATGTGGACCTCTGTGAAGATTTCGTTGGAAACGGGTTCATCTTCACAGAAAAACTAAACAGAAGCATTCTCAGAAACTGCTTTGTGATGTTTGCGTTCCACTTCAGGAATTGAACTTTCCTCTTGACAGAGCAGCTCTGAAACCCTCTTTTTCTAGAATCTGCAAGTGGACATTTGGAGGGCTTTGAGGCCTGTGGTGGAAAAGGAAAATCTTCACATAAAAACTAGATGGAAGCATTCTCAGAAACTACTTTGTGATGATTGCATTCGACTCACAGAGTTGAACATTCCTATAGATAGAGCAGGTTGTAAACAATCTTTTTGTAGAATCTGCGATTGGAGATTTGGACTGCTTTGAGGCCTACTGTAGTAAAGGAAATAACTTCATCTAAAAACCAAACGGAAGCATTCACAGACAATTCTTAGTGATCATTGGATTGAACTAACAGAGCTGAACATTCCTTTAGATGGAGCAGTTTCCAAACACACTTTCTGTAGAATCTGCAAGTGGATATTTGGACTTCTCTGAGGATTTCGTTGGAAACGGGATAAACTTCCCAGAACTACACGGAAGCATGCTGAGAAACTTATTTGTGATGTTTGCATTCAACTCACAGAGTTGAACCTTGCTTTCATAGTTCAGCTTTCAAACACTCTTTTTGTAGAATCTGCAAGTGGATATTTGGACCACTTTGTGGCCTTCCTTCGAAACGGGTATATCTTCACATCAAACCTAGACAGAAGCATTCTCAGAATGTTTCCTGTGATGACTGCATTCAACTCACAGAGGTGAACAATCCTTCTGATGGAGCAGTTTTGAAACTCTCTTTCTTTGGATTCTGCAAGTGGATATGTGGACCTCTGTGAAGATTTCGTTGGAAAAGGGTTCATCTTCACAGAAAAACTAAACAGGAGCATTCCCAGAAACTGCTTTGTGATGTTTGTGTTCCACTTCAAGAATTGAACTTTCCTCTTGACAGAGCAGCTCTGAAACCCTCTTTTTCTAGAATCTGCAAGTGGACATTTGGAGGGCTTTGAGGCCTGTGGTGGAAAAGGAAAATCTTCACATAAAAACTAGATGGAAGCATTCTCAGAAACTACTTTGTGATGATTGCATTCGACTCACAGAGTTGAACATTCCTATACATAGAGCAGGTTGTAAACAATCTTTTTGTAGAATCTGCGATTGGAGATTTGGACTGCTTTGAGGCCTACTGTAGTAAAGGAAATAACTTCATCTAAAAACCAAACGGAAGCATTCACAGACAATTCTTAGTGATCATTGGATTGAACTAACAGAGCTGAACATTCCTTTAGATGGAGCAGTTTCCAAACCCACTTTCTGTAGAATCTGCAAGTGGATATTTGGACTTCTCTGAGGATTTCGTTGGAAACGGGATAAACTTCCCAGAACTACACGGAAGCATTCTGAGAAACTTCTTTGTGATGTTTGCATTCAACTCACAGAGTTGAACCTTGCTTTCATAGTTCAGCTTTCAAACACTCTTTTTGTAGAATCTGCAAGTGGATATTTGGACCACTTTCTGGCCTTCCTTCGAAACGGGTATATCTTCACATCAAACCTAGACAGAAGCATTCTCAGAATGTTTCCTGTGATGACTGCATTCAACTCACAGAGGTGAACAATCCTGCTGATGGAGCAGTCTTGAAACTCTCTTTCTTTGGATTCTGCAAGTGGATATGTGGACCTCTGTGAAGATTTCGTTGGAAACGGGTTCATCTTCACAGAAAAACTAAACAGGAGCATTCTCAGAAACTGCTTTGTGATGTTTTTGTTCCACTTCAGGAATTGAACTTTCCTCTTGACAGAGCAGCTCTGAAACCCTCTTATTCTAGAATCTGCAAGTGGACATTTGGAGGGCTTTGAGGCCTGTGGTGGAAAAGGAAAATCTTCACATAAAAACTAGATGGAAGCATTCTCAGAAACTACTTTGTGATGATTGCATTCGACTCACAGAGTTGAACATTCCTATAGATAGAGCAGGTTGTAAACAATCTTTTCGTAGAATCTGCGATTGGAGATTTGGACTGCTTTGAGGCCTACTGTAGTAAAGGAAATAACTTCATCTAAAAACCAAACGGAAGCATTCACAGACAATTCTTAGTGATCATTGGATTGAACTAACAGAGCTGAACATTCCTTTAGATGGAGCAGTTTCCAAACACACTTTCTGTAGAATCTGCAAGTGGATATTTGGACCTCTCTGAGGATTTCGTTGGAAACGGGATAAACTTCCCAGAACTACACGGAAGCATTCTGAGAAACTTCTTTGTGATGTTTGCATTCAACTCACAGAGTTGAACCTTGCTTTCATAGTTCAGCTTTCAAACACTCTTTTTGTAGAATCTGCAAGTGGATATTTGGACCACTTTGTGGCCTTCCTTCGAAACGGGTATATCTTCACATCAAACCTAGACAGAAGCATTCTCAGAATGTTTCCTGTGATGACTGCATTCAACTCACAGAGGTGAACAATCCTGCTGATGGAGCAGTTTTGAAACTCTCTTTCTTTGGATTCTGCAAGTGGATATGTGGACATCTGTGAAGATTTCGTTGGAAACGGGTTCATCTTCACAGAAAAACTAAACAGGAGCATTCTCAGAAACTGCTTTGTGATGTTTGTGTTCCACTTCAAGAATTGAACTTTCCTCTTGACAGAGCAGCTCTGATACCCTCTTTTTCTAGAATCTGCAAGTGGACATTTGGAGGGCTTTGAGGCCTGTGGTGGAAAAGGAAAATCTTCACATAAAAACTAGATGGAAGCATTCTCAGAAACTACTTTGTGATGATTGCATTCGACTCACAGAGTTGAACATTCCTATACATAGAGCAGGTTGTAAACAATCTTTTTGTAGAATCTGCGATTGGAGATTTGGACTGCTTTGAGGCCTACTGTAGTAAAGGAAATAACTTCATCTAAAAACCAAACGGAAGCATTCCCAGACAATTCTTAGTGATCATTGGATTGAACTAACAGAGCTGAATATTCCTTTAGATGGCGCAGTTTCCAAACACACTTTCTGTAGAATCTGCAAGTGGATATTTGTACCTCTCTGAGGATTTCGTTGGAAGCGGGATAAACTTCCCAGAACTACACGGAAGCATTGTGAGAAACTTCTTTGTGATGTTTGCATTCAACTCACAGAGTTGAACCTTGCTTTCATAGTTCAGCTTTCAAACACTCTTTTTGTAGAATCTGCAAGTGGATATTTGGACCACTTTGTGGCCTTCCTTCGAAACGGGTATATCTTCACATCAAACCTAGACAGAAGCATTCTCAGAATGTTTCCTGTGATGACTGCATTCAACTCACAGAGGTGAACAATCCTGCTGATGGAGCAGTTTTGAAACTCTCTTTCTTTGGATTCTGCAAGTGGATATGTGGACCTCTGTGAAGATTTCGTTGGAAACGGGTTCATCTTCACAGAAAAACTAAACAGAAGCATTCTCAGAAACTGCTTTGTGATGTTTGTGTTCCACTTCAAGAATTGAACTTTCCTCTTGACAGAGCAGCTCTGAAACCCTCTTTTTCTAGAATCTGCAAGTGGACATTTGGAGGGCTTTGAGGCCTGTGGTGCAAAAGGAAAATCTTCACATAAAAACTAGATGGAAGCATTCTCAGAAACTACTTTGTGATGATTGCATTCGACTCACAGAGTTGAACATTCCTATAGATAGAGCAGGTTGTAAACAATCTTTTTGTAGAATATGCGATTGGAGATTTGGACTGCTTTGAGGCATACTGTAGTAAAGGAAATAACTTCATCTAAAAACCAAACGGAAGCATTCACAGACAATTCTTAGTGATCATTGGATTGAACTAACAGAGCTGAACATTCCTTTAGATGGAGCAGTTTCCAAACACACTTTCTGTAGAATCTGCAAGTGGATATTTGGACTTCTCTGAGGATTTCGTTGGAAACGGGATAAACTTCCCAGAACTACACGGAAGCATTGTGAGAAACTTCTTTGTGATGTTTGCATTCAACTCACAGAGTTGAACCTTGCTTTCATAGTTCAGCTTTCAAACACTCTTTTTGTAGAATCTGCAAGTGGATATTTGGACCACTTTGTGGCCTTCCTTCGAAACGGGTATATCTTCACATCAAACCTAGACAGAAGCATTCTCAGAATGTTTCCTGTGATGACTGCATTCAACTCACAGAGGTGAACAATCCTGCTGATGGAGCAGTTTTGAAACTCTCTTTCTTTGGATTCTGCAAGTGGATATGTGGACCTCTGTGAAGATTTCGTTGGAAACGGGTTCATCTTCACAGAAAAACTAAACAGAAGCATTCTCAGAAACTGCTTTGTGATGTTTGTGTTCCACTTCAGGAATTGAACTTTCCTCTTGACAGAGCAGCTCTAAAACCCTCTTATTCTAGAATCTGCAAGTGGACATTTGGAGGGCTTTGAGGCCTGTGGTGGAAAAGGAAAATCTTCACATAAAAACTAGATGGAAGAATTCTCAGAAACTACTTTGTGATGATTGCATTCGACTCAAAGAGTTGAACATTCCTATAGATAGAGCAGGTTGTAAACAATCTTTTTGTAGAATCTGCAATAGGAGATTTGGACTGCTTTGAGGCCTACCGTAGTAAAGGAAATAACTTCATCTAAAAACCAAACGGAAGCATTCACAGACAATTCTTAGTGATCATTGGATTGAACTAACAGAGCTGAACATTCCTTTAGATGGAGCAGTTTCCAAACAAACTTTCTGTAGAATCTGCAAGTGGATATTTGGACTTCTCTGAGGATTTCGTTGGAAACGGGATAAACTTCCCAGAACTACACGGAAGCATTGTGAGAAACTTCTTTGTGATGTTTGCATTCAACTCACAGAGTTGAACCTTGCTTTCATAGTTCAGCTTTCAAACACTCTTTTTGTAGAATCTGCAAGTGGATATTTGGACCACTTTGTGGCCTTCCTTCGAAACGGGTATATCTTCACATCAAACCTAGACAGAAGCATTCTCAGAATGTTTCCTGTGATGACTGCATTCAACTCACAGAGGTGAACAATCCTGCTGATGGAGCAGTTTTGAAACTCTCTTTCTTTGGATTCTGCAAGTGGATATGTGGACCTCTGTGAAGATTTCGTTGGAAACGGGTTCATCTTCACAGAAAAACTAAACAGAAGCATTCTCAGAAACTGCTTTGTGATGTTTGTGTTCCACTTCAAGAATTGAACTTTCCTCTTGACAGAGCAGCTCTGAAACCCTGTTTTTCTAGAATCTGCAAGTGGACATTTGGAGGGCTTTGAGGCCTGTGGTGGAAAAGGAAAATCTTCACATAAAAACTAGATGGAAAGCATTCTCAGTAAACTACTTTGTGATGATTGCATTCGACTCACAGAGTTGAACATTCCTATAGATAGAGCAGGTTGTAAACAATCTTTTTGTAGAATCTGCGATTGGAGATTTGGACTGCTTTGAGGCCTACTGTAGTAAAGGAAATAACTTCATCTGAAAACCAAACGGAAGCATTCACAGACAATTCTTAGTGATCATTGGATTGAACTAACAGAGCTGAACATTCCTTTAGATGGAGCAGTTTCCAAACACACTTTCTGTAGAATCTGCAAGTGGATATTTGGACTTCTCTGAGGATTTCGTTGGAAACGGGATAAACTTCCCAGAACTACACGGAAGCATTCTGAGAAACTTCTTTGTGATGTTTGCATTCAACTCACAGAGTTGAACCTTGCTTTCATAGTTCAGCTTTCAAACACTCTTTTTGTAGAATCTGCAAGTGGATATTTGGACCACTTTGTGGCCTTCCTTCGAAACGGGTATATCTTCACATCAAACCTAGACAGAAGCATTCTCAGAATGTTTCCTGTGATGACTGCATTCAACTCACAGAGGTGAACAATCCTGCTGATGGAGCAGTTTTGAAAATCTCCTTCTTTGGATTCTGCAAGTGGATATGTGGACCTCTGTGAATATTTCGTTGGAAACGGGTTCATCTTCACAGAAAAACTAAACAGAAGCATTCTCAGAAACTGCTTTGTGATGTTTGTGTTCCACTTCAGGAATTGAACTTTCCTCTTGACAGAGCAGCTCTGAAACCCTCTTATTCTAGAATCTGCAAGTGGACATTTGGAGGGCTTTGAGGCCTGTGGTGGAAAAGGAAAATCTTCACATAAAAACTAGATGGAAGCATTCTCAGAAACTACTTTGTGATGATTGCATTCGACTCACAGAGTTGAACATTCCTATACATAGAGCAGGTTGTAAACAATCTTTTTGTAGAATCTGCGATTGGAGATTTGGACTGCTTTGAGGCCTACTGTAGTAAAGGAAATAACTTCATCTAAAAACCAAACGGAAGCATTCACAGACAATTCTTAGTGATCATTGGATTGAACTAACAGAGCTGAACATTCCTTTAGATGGAGCAGTTTCCAAACCCACTTTCTGTAGAATCTGCACGTGGATATTTGGACCTCTCTGAGGATTTCTTTGGAAACGGGATAAACTTCCCAGGACTACACGGAAGCATTCTGAGAAACTTCTTTGTGATGTTTGCATTCAACTCACAGAGTTGAACCTTGCTTTCATAGTTCAGCTTTCAAACACTCTTTTTGTAGAATCTGCAAGTGAATATTTGGACCACTTTGTGGCCTTCCTTCGAAACGGGTATATCTTCACATCAAACCTAGACAGAAGCATTCTCAGAATGTTTCCTGTGATGACTGCATTCAACTCACAGAGGTGAACAATCCTGTTGATGGAGCAGTTTTGAAACTCTCTTTCTTTGGATTCTGCAAGTGGATATGTGGACCTCTGTGAAGATTTCGTTGGAAACGGGTTCATCTTCACAGAAAAACCAAACAGGAACATTCTCAGAAACTGCTTTGTGATGTTTGTGTTCCACTTCAGGAATTGAACTTTCCTCTTGACAGAGCAGCTCTGAAACCCTCTTATTCTAGAATCTGCAAGTGGACATTTGGAGGGCTTTGAGGCCTGTGGTGGAAAAGGAAAATCTTCACATAAAAACTAGATGGAAGCATTCTCAGAAACTCCTTTGTGATGATTGCATTCGACTCACAGAGTTGAACATTCCTATAGATAGAGCAGGTTGTAAACAATCTTTTTGTAGAATCTGCGATTGGAGATTTCGACTGCTTTGAGGCCTACTGTAGTAAAGGAAATAACTTCATCTAAAAACCAAACGGAAGCATTCACAGACAATTCTTAGTGATCATTGGATTGAACTACCAGAGCTGAACATTCCTTTAGATGGCGCAGTTTCCAAACACACTTTCTGTAGAATCTGAAAGTGGATATTTGAACCTCTCTGAGGATTTCGTTGGAAACGGGATAAACTTCCCAGAACTACACGGAAGCATTGGGAGAAACTTCTTTGTGATGTTTGCATTCAACTCACAGAGTTGAACCTTGCTTTCATAGTTCAGCTTTCAAACACTCTTTTTGTAGAATCTGCAAGTGGATATTTGGACCACTTTGTGGCCTTCCTTCGAAACGGGTATATCTTCACATCAAACCTAGACAGAAGCATTCTCAGAATGTTTCCTGTGATGACTGCATTCAACTCACAGAGGTGAACAATCCGGTTGATGGAGCAGTTTTGAAACTCTCTTTCTTTGGATTCTGCAAGTTGATATGTGGACCTCTGTGAAGATTTCGTTGGAAACGGGTTCATCTTCACAGAAAAACTAAACAGGAGCATTCTCAGAAACTGCTTTGTGATGTTTGTGTTCCACTTCAGGAATTGAACTTTCCTCTTGACAGAGCAGCTCTGAAACCCTCTTTTTCTAGAATCTGCAAGTGGACATTTGGAGGGCTTTGAGGCCTGTGGTGGAAAAGGAAAATCTTCACATAAAAACTAGATGGAAGCATTCTCAGAAACTACTTTGTGATGATTGCATTCGACTCACAGAGTTGAACATTCCTATACATAGAGCAGGTTGTAAACAATCTTTTTGTAGAATCTGCGATTGGAGATTTGGACTGCTTTGAGGCCTACTGTAGTAAAGGAAATAACTTCATCTAAAAACCAAACGGAAGCATTCACAGACAATTCTTAGTGATCATTGGATTGAACTAACAGAGCTGAACATTCGTTTAGATGGCGCAGTTTCCAAACACACTTTCTGTAGAATCTGCAAGTGGATATTTGGACCTCTCTGAGGATTTCGTTGGAAACGGGATAAACTTCCCAGAACTACACGGAAGCATTCTGAGAAACTTCTTTGTGATGTTTGCATTCAACTCACAGAGTTGAACCTTGGTTTTATAGTTCAGCTTTCAAACACTCTTTTTGTAGAATCTGCAAGTGGATATTTGGACCACTTTGTGGCCTTCCTTCGAAACGGGTATATCTTCACATCAAACCTAGACAGAAGCATTCTCAGAATGTTTCCTGTGATGACTGCATTCAACTCACAGAGGTGAACAATCCTGCTGATGGAGCAGTTTTGAAACTCTCTTTCTTTGGATTCTGCAAGTGGATATGTGGACCTCTGTGAAGATTTCGTTGGAAACGGGTTCATCTTCACAGAAAAACTAAACAGAAGCATTCTCAGAAACTGCTCTGTGATGTTTGTGTTCCACTTCAGGAATTGAACTTTCCTCTTGACAGAGCAGCTCTGAAACCCTCTTTTTCTAGAATCTGCAAGTGGTCATTTGGAGGGCTTTGAGGCCTGTGGTGGAAAAGGAAAATCTTCACATAAAAATTAGATGGAAGCATTCTCAGAAACTACTTTGTGATGATTGCATTCGACTCACAGAGTTGAACATTCCTATAGATAGAGCAGGTTGTAAACAATCTTTTTGTAGAATCTGCGATTGGAGATTTGGACTGCTTTGAGGCCTACTGTAGTAAAGGAAATAACTTCATCTAAAAACCAAACGGAAGCATTCACAGACAATTCTTAGTGATCATTGCATTGAACTAACAGAGCTGAACATTCCTTCAGATGGCGCAGTTTCCAAACACACTTTCTGTAGAATCAGCAAGTGGATATTTGGACTTCTCTGAGGATTTCGTTGGAAACGGGGTATGCTTCCCAGAACTACAGGGAAGCATTGTGAGAAACTTCTTTGTGATGTTTGCATTCAACTCACAGAGTTGAACCTTGCTTTCATAGTTCAGCTTTCAAACACTCTTTTTGTAGAATCTGCAAGTGGATATTTGGACCACTTTGTGGCCTTCCTTCGAAACGGGTATATCTTCACATCAAACCTAGACAGAAGCATTCTCAGAATGTTTCCTGTGATGACTGCATTCAACTCACAGAGGTGAACAATCCTTCTGATGGAGCAGTTTTGAAACTCTCTTTCTTTGGATTCTGCAAGTGGATATGTGGACCTCTGTGAAGATTTCGTTGGAAACGGGTTCATCTTCACAGAAAAACTAAACAGGAGCATTCTCAGAAACTGCTTTGTGATGTTTGTGTTCCACTTCAAGAATTGAACTTTCCTCTTGACAGAGCAGCTCTGAAACCCTCTTTTTCTAGAATCTGCAAGTGGACATTAGGAGGGCTTTGAGGCCTGTGGTGGAAAAGGAAAATCTTCCCATAAAAACTAGATGGAAGCATTCTCAGAAACTCCTTTGTGATGATTGCATTCGACTCACAGAGTTGAACATTCCTATAGATAGAGCAGGTTGTAAACAATCTTTTTGTAGAATCTGCGATTGGAGATTTGGACTGCTTTGAGGCCTACAGTAGTAAAGGAAATAACTTCATCTAAAAACGAAACGGAAGCATTCACAGACAATTCTTAGTGATCATTGCATTGAACTAACAGAGCTGAACATTCCTTTAGATGGCGCAGTTTCCAAACACACTTTCTGTAGAATCTGAAAGTGGATATTTGGACCTCTCTGAGGATTTCGTTGGAAACTGGAGAAACTTCTCAGAACTACACGGAAGCATTCTGAGAAACTTCTTTGTGATGTTTTCATTCAACTCACAGAGTTGAACCTTGCTTTCATAGTTCAGCTTTCAAACACTCTTTCTGTAGAATCTGCAAGTGGATATTTGGACCACTTTGTGGCCTTCCTTCGAAACGGGTTTATGTTCCCATCAAAGCTAGACAGAAGCATTCTCAGAATGTTTCCTGTGATGACTGCATTCAACTCACAGAGGTGAACAATCCTGTTGATGGAGCAGTTTTGAAACTCTCTTTCTTTGGATTCTGCAAGTGGATATGTGGACCTCTGTGAAGATTTCGTTGGAAACGGGTTCATCTTCACAGAAAAACTAAACAGAAACATTCTCAGAAACTGCTTTGTGATGTTTGTGTTCCACTTCAGGAATTGAACTTTCCTCTTGACAGAGCAGCTCTGAAACCCTCTTATTCTAGAATCTGCAAGTGGACATTTGGAGGGCTTTGAGGCCTGTGGTGGAAAAGGAAAATCTTCACATAAAAACTAGATGGAAGCATTCTCAGAAACTACTTTGTGATGATTGCATTCGACTCACAGAGTTGAACATTCCTATAGATAGAGCAGGTTGAAAACAATCTTTTTGTAGAATCTGCGATTGGAGATTTGGACTGCTTTGAGGCCTACTGTAGTAAAGGAAATAACTTCATCTAAAAACCAAACGGAAGCATTCACAGACAATTCTTAGTGATCATTGGATTGAACTAACAGAGCTGAACATTCCTTTAGATGGAGCAGTTTCCAAACACACTTTCTGTAGAATCTGCAAGTGGATATTTGGACCTCTCTGAGGATTTCGTTGGAAACGGGATAAACTTCCCAGAACTATACGGAAGCATGCTGAGAAACTTCTTTGTGATGTTTGCATTCAACTCACAGAGTTGAACCTTGCTTTCATAGTTCAGCTTTCAAACACTCTTTTTGTAGAATCTGCAAGTGGATATTTGGACCACTTTGTGGCCTTCCTTCGAAACGGGTATATCTTCACATCAAACCTAGACAGAAGCATTCTCAGAATGTTTCCTGTGATGACTGCATTCAACTCACAAGAGGTGAACAATCCTGCTGATGGAGCACTTTTGAAACTCTCTTTCTTTGGATTCTGCAAGTGGATATGTGGACCTCTGTGAAGATTTCGTTGGAAACGGGTTCATCTTCACAGAAAAACGAAACAGGAGCATTCTCAGAAACTGCTTTGTGATGTTTGTGTTCCACTTCAGGAATTGAACTTTCCTCTTGACAGAGCAGCTCTGAAACCCTCTTATTCTAGAATCTGCAAGTGGACATTTGGAGGGCTTTGAGGCCTGTGGTGGAAAAGGAAAATCTTCACATAAAAACTAGATGGAAGCATTCTCAGAAACTACTTTGTGATGATTGCATTCGACTCACAGAGTTGAACATTCCTATAGATAGAGCAGGTTGTAAACAATCTATTTGTAGAATCTGCGATTGGAGATTTGGACTGCTTTGAGGCCTACTGTAGTAAAGGAAATAACTTCATCTAAAAACCAAACGGAAGCATTCACAGACAATTCTTAGTGATCATTGCATTGAACTAACAGAGCTGAACATTCCTTTAGATGGCGCAGTTTCCAAACACACTTTCTGTAGAATCTGCAAGTGGATATTTGGACTTCTCTGAGGATTTCGTTGGAAACGGGATAAACTTCCCAGAACTACACGGAAGCATTCTGAGAAACTTCTTTGTGATGTTTGCATTCAACTCACAGAGTTGAACCTTGCTTTCATAGTTCAGCTTTCAAATACTCTTTTTGTAGAATCTGCAAGTGGATATTTGGACCACTTTGTGGCCTTCCTTCGAAACGGGTATATCTTCACATCAAACATAGACAGAAGCATTCTCAGAATGTTTCCTGTGATGACTGCATTCAACTCACAGAGGTGAACAATCCTGCTGCTGGAGCAGTTTTGAAACTCTCTTTCTTTGGATTCTGCAAGTGGATATGTGGACCTCTGTGAAGATTTCGTTGGAAACGGGTTCATCGTCACAGAAAAACTAAACAGAAGCATTCTCAGAAACTGCTTTGTGATGTTTGTGTTCCATTTCAGGAATTGAACTTTCCTCTTGACAGAATTCTAGAATCTACAAGTGGACATTTGGAGGGCTTTGAGGCCTGTGGTGGAAAAGGAAAATCTTCACATAAAAACTAGATGGAAGCATTCTCAGAAACTACTTTGTGATGATTGCATTCGACTCACAGAGTTGAACATTCCTATAGATAGAGCAGGTTGTAAACAATCTTTTTGTAGAATCTGCGATTGGAGATTTGGACTGCTTTGAGGCATACTGTAGTAAAGGAAATAACTTCATCTAAAAACCAAACGGAGGTATTCAAAGACAATTCTTAGTGATCATTGGATTGAACTAACAGAGCTGAACATTAGTTTAGATGGCGCAGTTTCCAAACCCACTTTCTGTAGAATCTGCAAGTGGATATTTGGACTTCTCTGAGGATTTCGTTGGAAACGGGATAAACTTCCCAGAACTACACGGAAGCATTCTGAGAAACTTCTTTGTGATGTTTGCATTCAACTCACAGAGTTGAACCTTGCTTTCATAGTTCAGCTTTCAAACACTCTTTTTGTAGAATCTGCAAGTGGATATTTGGACCACTTTGTGGCCTTCCTTCGAAACGGGTATATCTTCACATCAAACCTAGACAGAAGCATTCTCAGAATGTTTCCTGTGATGACTGCGTTCAACTCACAGAGGTGAACAATCCTGTTGATGGAGCAGTTTTGAAACTCTCTTTCTTTGGATTCTGCAAGTGGATATGTGGACCTCTGTGAAGATTTCGTTGGAAACGGGTTCATCTTCACAGAAAAACTAAACAGGAGCATTCTCAGAAACTGCATTGTCATGTTTGTGTTCCACTTCAAGAATTGAACTTTCCTCTTGACAGAGCAGCTCTGAAACCCTCTTTTTCTAGAATGTGCAAGTGGACATTTGGAGGGCTTTGAGGCCTGTGGTGGAAAAGGAAAATCTTCACATAAAAACTTTATAGAAGCATTCTCAGAAACTACTTTGTGATGATTGCATTCGACTCACAGAGTTGAACATTCCTATAGATAGAGCAGGTTGTAAACAATCTTTTTGTAGAATCTGCGATTGGAGATTTGGACTGCTTTGAGGCCTACTGTAGTAAAGGAAATAACTTCATCTAAAAACCAAACGGAAGCATTCACAGACAATTCTTAGTGATCATTGCATTGAACTAACAGAGCTGAACATTCCTGTAGATGGCGCAGTTTCCAAACACACTTTCTGTAGAATCTGCAAGTGGATATTTGGACCTCTCTGAGGATTTCGTTGGAAACGGGATAAACTTCCCAGAACTACACGGAAGCATTCTCAGAAACTTCTTTGTGATGTTGCATTCAACTCACAGACTTGAACCTTGCTTTCATAGTTCAGCTTCCAAACACTCTTTTTGTAGAATCTGCAAGTGGATATTTGGACCACTTTGTGGCCTTCCTTCGAAACGGGAATATCTTCACATCAAACCTAGACAGAAGCATTCTCAGAATGTTTCCTGTGATGACTGCATTCAACTCACAGAGGTGAACAATCCTGCTGATGGAGCAGTTTTGAAACTCTCCTTCTTTGGATTCTGCAAGTGGATATGTGGACCTCTGTGAAGATTTCGTTGGAAACGGGTTCATCTTCACAGAAAAACTAAACAGAAGCATACTCAGGAAACTGCTTTGTGATGTTTGTGTTCCACTTCAGGAATTGAACTTTCCTCTTGACAGAGCAGCTCTGAAACCCTCTTATTCTAGAATCTGCAAGTGGACATTTGGAGGGCTTTGAGGCCTGTGGTGGAAAAGGAAAATCTTCACATAAAAACTAGATGGAAGCATTCTCAGAAACTACTTTGTGATGATTGCATTCGACTCACAGAGTTGAACATTCCTATAGGTAGAGCAGGTTGTAAACAATCTTTTTGTAGAATCTGCGATTGGAGATTTGGACTGCTTTGAGGCCTACTGTAGTAAAGGAAATAACTTCATCTAAAAACCAAACGGAAGCATTCACAGACAATTCTTAGTGATCATTGCATTGAACTAACAGAGCTGAACATTCCTTTAGATGGCGCAGTTTCCAAACACACTTTCTGTAGAATCTGCAAGTGGATATTTGGACTTCTCTGAGGATTTCGTTGGAAACGGGATAAACTTCCCAGAACTACACGGAAGCATTCTGAGAAACTTCTTTGTGATGTTTGCATTCAACCCACAGAGTTGAACCTTGCTTTCATAGTTCAGCTTTCAAACACTCTTTTTGTAGAATCTGCAAGTGGATATTTGGACCACTTTGTGGCCTTCCTTCGAAACGGGTATATCTTCACATCAAACCTAGAGAGAAGCATTCTCAGAATGTTTCCTGTGATGACTGCATTCAACTCACAGAGGTGAACAATCCTGTTGATGGAGCACTTTTGAAACTCTCTTTCTTTGGATTCTGCAAGTTGATATGTGGACCTCTGTGAAGATTTCGTTGGAAACGGGTTCATCTTCACAGAAAAACTAAACAGAAGCATTCTCAGAAACTGCTTTGTGATGTTTGTGTTCCACTTCAAGAATTGAACTTTCCTCTTGACAGAGCAGCTCTGAAACCCTCTTTTTCTAGAATCTGCAAGTGGACATTTGGAGGGCTTTGAGGCCTGTGGTGGAAAAGGAAAATCTTCACATAAAAACTAGATGGAAGCATTCTCAGAAACTACTTTGTAATGATTGCATACGACTCACAGAGTTGAACATTCCTATAGATAGAGCAGGTTGTAAACAATCTTTTTGTAGAATCTGCGATTGGAGATTTGGACTGCTTTGAGGCCTACTGTAGTAAAGGAAATAACTTCATCTAAAAACCAAACGGAAGCAATCACAGACAATTCTTAGTGATCATTGGATTGAACTAACAGAACTGAACATTCCTTTAGATGGAGCAGTTTCCAAACCCACTTTCTGTAGAATCTGCAAGTGGATATTTGGACTTCTCTGAGGATTTCGTTGGAAACGGGATAAACTTCCCAGAACTACACGGAAGTATTCTGAGAAACTTCTTTGTGATGTTTGCATTCAACTCACAGAGTTGAAACTTGATTTCATAGTTCAGCTTTCAAACACTCTTTTTGTAGAATCTGCAAGTGGATATTTGGACCACTTTGTGGCCTTCCTTCGAAACGGGTATATCTTCACATCAAACCTAGACAGAAGCATTCTCAGAATGTTTCCTGTGATGACTGCATTCAACTCACAGTGGTGAACAATCCTGCTGATGGAGCAGTTTTGAAACTCTCTTTCTTTGGATTCTGCAAGTGGATATGTGAACCTCTGTGAAGATTTCGTTGGAAACGGGTTCATCTTCACAGAAAAACTAAACAGGGGCATTCTCAGAAACTGCTTTGTGATGTTTGTGTTCCACTTCAAGAATTGAGCTTTCCTCTTGACAGAGCAGCTCTGAAACCCTCTTTTTCTAGAATCTGCAAGTGGACATTTGGGGGGCTTTGAGGCCTGTGGTGGAAAAGGAAAATCTTCACATAAAAACTAGATGG
Organism: Homo sapiens; assembly: GCF_000001405.40. Taxonomy (NCBI): domain Eukaryota; kingdom Metazoa; phylum Chordata; class Mammalia; order Primates; family Hominidae; genus Homo; species Homo sapiens. The sequence goes on from NC_000011.10 coordinate 53,631,602, forward strand.
AAGCATTCTCAGAAACTACTTTGTGATGATTGCATTCGACTCACAGAGTTGAACATTCCTATAGATAGAGCAGGTTGTAAACAATCTTTTTGTAGAATCTGCGATTGGAGATTTGGACTGCTTTGAGGCCTACTGTAGTAAAGGAAATAACTTCATCTAAAAACCAAACGGAAGCATTCACAGACAATTCTTAGTGTTCATTGCATTGAACTAACAGAGCTGAACATTGCTTTAGATGGCGCAGTTTCCAAACACACTTTCTGTAGAATCTGCAAGTGGATATTTGGACCTCTCCTGAGGATTTCGTTGGAAACGGGATAAACTTCCCAGAACTACACGGAAGCATTCTGAGAAACATCTTTATGATGTTTGCATTCAACTCACAGAGTTGAACCTTGCTTTCATAGTTCAGCTTTCAAACACTCTTTTCGTAGAATCTGCAAGTGGATATTTGGACCACTTTGTGGCCTTCCTTCGAAACGGGTATATCTTCACATCAAACCTAGACAGAAGCATTCTCAGAATGTTTCCTGTGATGACTGCATTCAACTCACAGAGGTGAACAATCCTGCTGATGGAGCAGTTTTGAAACTCTCTTTCTTTGGATTCTGCAAGTGGATATGTGGACCTCTGTGAAGATTTCGTTGGAAACGGGTTCATCTTCACAGAAAAACTAAACAGAAGCATTCTCAGAAACTGCTTTGTGATGTTTGTGTTCCACTTCAGGAATTGAACTTTCCTCTTGACAGAGCAGCTCTGAAATCCTCTTATTCTAGAATCTGCAAGTGGACATTTGGAGGGCTTTGAGGCCTGTGGTGGAAAAGGAAAATCTTCACATAAAAACTAGATGGAAGCATTCTCAGAAACTACTTTGTGATAATTGCATTCGACTCACAGAGTTGAACATTCCCATAGATAGAGCAGGTTGTAAACAATCTTTTTGTAGAATCTGCGATTGGAGATTTGGACTGCTTTGAGGCCTACTGTAGTAAAGGAAATAACTTCATCTAAAAACCAAACGGAAGCATTCACAGACAATTCTTAGTGATCATTGCATTGAACTAACAGAGCTGAACATTCCTTTAGATGGCGCAGTTTCCAAACACACTTTCTGTAGAATCTGCAAGTGGATATTTGGACTTCTCTGAGGATTTCGTTGGAAACGGGATAAACTTCCCAGAACTACACGGAAGTATTCTGAGAAACTTCTTTGTGATGTTTCCATTCAACTCACAGTGTTGAACCTTGCTTTCATAGTTCAGCTTTCAAACACTCTTTTTGTAGAATCTGCAAGTGGATATTTAGACCACTTTGTGGCCTTCCTTCGAAACGGGTATATCTTCACATCAAACCTAGACAGAAGCATTCTCAGAATGTTTCCTGTGATGACTGCATTCAACTCACAGAGGTGAACAATCCTGCTGATGGAGCAGTTTTGAAACTCTCTTTCTTTGGATTCTGCAGGTGGATATGTGGACCTCTGTGAAGATTTCGTTGGAAACGGGTTCATCTTCACAGAAAAACTAAACAGGAGCATTCTCAGAAACTGCTTTGTGATGTTTGTGTTCCACTTCAAGAATTGAACTTTCCTCTTGACAGAGCAGCTCTGAAACCCTCTTTTTCCTGAATCTGCAAGTGGACATTTGGAGGGCTTTGAGGCCTGTGGTGGAAAAGGAAAATCTTCACATAAAAACTAGATGGAAGCATTCTCAGAAACTACTTTGTGATGATTGCATTCGACTCAAAGAGTTGAACATTCCTATAGATAGAGCAGGTTGTAAACAATCTTTTTGTAGAATCTGCGATTGGAGATTTGGACTGCTTTGAGGCCTACTGTAGTAAAGGAAATAACTTCATCAAAAAACCAAACGGAAGCATTCACAGAAAATTCTTAGTGATCATTGGATTGAACTAACAGAGCTGCACATTCCTTTAGATGGAGCAGTTTCCAAACACACTTTCTGTAGAATCTGCAAGTGGATATTTGGACCTCTCTGAGGATTTCGTTGGAAAAGGGATAAACTTCCCAGAACTACACGGAAGCATTCTGAGAAACTTCTTTGTGATGTTTACATTCAACTCACAGAGTTGAACCTTGCTTTCATAGTTCAGCTTTCAAACACTCTTTTTGTAGAATCTGCAAGTGGATATTAGGACCACTTTGTGGCCTTCCTTCGAAACGGGTATATCTTCACATCAAACCTAGACAGAAGCATTCTCAGAATGTTTCCTGTGATGACTGCATTCAACTCACAGAGGTGAACAATCCTGTTGATGGAGCACTTTTGAAACTCTCTTTCTTTGGATTCTGCAAGTTGATATGTGGACCTCTGTGAAGATTTCGTTGGAAACGGGTTCATCTTCACAGAAAAACTAAACAGAAGCATTCTCAGAAACTGCTTTGTGATGTTTGTGTTCCACTTCAAGAATTGAACTTTCCTCTTGACAGAGCAGCTCTGAAACCCTCTTTTTCTAGAATCTGCAAGTGGACATTTGGAGGGCTTTGAGGCCTGTGGTGGAAAAGGAAAATCTTCACATAAAAACTAGATGGAAGCATTCTCAGAACCTACTTTGTGATGATTGCATTCGACTCACAGAGTTGAACATTCCCATAGATAGAGCAGGTTGTAAACAATCTTTTTGTAGAATCTGCGATTGGAGATTTGGACTGCTTTGAGGCCTACTGTAGTAAAGGAAATAACTTCATCTAAAAACAAAACGGAAGCATTCACAGACAATTCTTAGTGATCATTGGATTGAACTAACAGAGCTGAACATTCCTTTAGATGGAGCAGTTTCCAAACACACTTTCTGTAGAATCTGCAAGTGGATATTTGGACCTCTCTGAGGATTTCGTTGGAAACGGGATAAACTTCCCAGAACTACACGGAAGCATTCTGAGAAACTTCTTTGTGATGTTTGCATTCAACTCACAGGGTTGAACCTTGCTTTCATAGTTCAGCTTTCAAACACTCTTTTTGTAGAATCTGCAAGTGGATATTTGGACCACCTTGTGGCCTTCGTTCGATACGGGTATGTCTTCACATCAAACCTAGACAGAAGCATTCTCAGAATGTTTCCTGTGATGACTCCATTCAACGCACAGAGGTGAACAATCCTGTTGATGGAGCAGTTTTGAAACTCTCTTTCTTTGGAATCTGCAAGTGGATATGTGGACCTCTTTGAAGATTTCCTTGGAAACGGGTTCATCTTCACATAAAAACTAAACAGAAGCATTCTCAGAAACTGCTTTGTGATGTTTGTGTTCCACTTCAAGAATTGAACTTTCCTCTTGACAGAGCAGCTCTGAAACCCTCTTTTTCTAGAATCTGCAAGTGGACATTTGGAGGGCTTTGAGGCCTGTGGTGGAAAAGGAAATATCTTCACATAAAACCTAGATAGAAGCATTCTCAGAAACTACTTTGTGATGATTGCATTCGACTCACAGAGTTGAACATTCCTATAGATAGAGCAGGTTGTAAACAATCTTTTTGTAGAATCTGCGATTGGAGATTTGGACTGCTTTGAGGCCTACTGTAGTAAAGGAAATAACTTCATCTAAAAACCAAACGGAAGCATTCACAGACAATTCTTAGTGATCATTGGATTGAACTAACAGAGCTGAACATTCCTTTAGATGGCGCAGCTTCCAAACACACTTTCTGTAGAATCTGCAAGTGGATATTTGGACCTCTCTGAGGATTTCGTTGGAAACGGGATAAACTTCCCAGAACTACACGGAAGCATTCTGAGAAACTTCTTTGTGATGTTTGCATTCAACTCACAGACTTGAACCTTGCTTTCATAGTTCAGCTTTCAAACACTCTTTTTGTAGAATCTGCAAGTGGATATTTGGACCACTTTGTGGCCTTCCTTCGAAAGGGGTATATCTTCACATCAAACCTAGACAGAAGCATTCTCAGAATGTTTTCCTGTGATGACTGCATTCAACGCACAGAGGTGAACAATCCTGTTGATGGAGCAGTTTTGAATCTCTCTTTCTCTGGAATGTGCAAGTGGATATGTGGACCTCTTTGAAGATTTCGTTGGAAAAGGGTTCATCTTCAAAGAAAAACTAAACAGAAGCATTCTCAGAAACTACTTTGTGATGTTTGTGTTCCACTTCAAGAATTGAACTTTCATCTTGACAGAGCAGCTCTGAAACCCTCTTTTTCTAGAATCTGCAAGTGGACATTTGGAGGGCTTTGAGGCCTGTGGTGGAAAAGGAATATCTTCACATAAAAACTAGATGGAAGCATTCTCAGAAACTACTTTGCGATGATTGCATTCGACTCACAGAGTTGAACATTCCTATAGATAGAGCAGGTTGTAAACAATCTTTTTGTAGAATCTGCGATTGGAGACTTGGACTGCTTTGAGGCCTACTGTAGTAAAGGAAATAACTTCATCTAAAAACCAAACGGAAGCATTCACAGACAATTCTTAGTGATCATTGGATTGAACTAACAGAGCTGAACATTCCTTTAGATGGAGCAGTTTCCAAACACACTTTCTGTAGAATCTGCAGGTGGATATTTGGACCTCTCTGAGGATTTTGTTGGAAACGGGATAAACTTCCCAGAACTACACGGAAGCATTGTGAGAAACTTCTTTGTGATGTTTGCATTCAACTCACAGAGTTGAACCTTGCTTTCATAGTTCAGCTTTCAAACACTCTTTTTGTAGAATCTGCAAGTGGATATTTGGACCACTTTGTGGCCTTCCTTCGAAACGGGTATATCTTCACATCAAACCTAGACAGAAGCATTCTCAGAATGTTTCCTGTGATGACTGCATTCAACTCACAGAGGTGAACAATCCTGTTGATGGAGCACTTTTGAAACTCTCTTTCTTTGGATTCTGCAAGTTGATATGTGGACCTCTGTGAAGATTTCGTTGGAAACGGGTTCATCTTCACAGAAAAACTAAACAGAAGCATTCTCAGAAACTGCTTTGTGATGTTTGTGTTCCACTTCAGGAATTGAACTTTCCTCTTGACAGAGCAGCTCTGAAACCCTCTTTTTCTAGAATCTGCAAGTGGACATTTGGAGGGCTTTGAGGCCTGTGGTGGAGAAAGAAAATCTTCACATAAAAACTAGATGGAAGCATTCTCAGCAAACTACTTTGTGATGATTGCATTCGACTCACAGCAGTTGAACATTCCTATAGATAGAGCAGGTTGTAAACAATGTTTTTGTAGAATCTGCGATTGGAGATTTGGATTGCTTTGAGGCCTACTGTAGTAAAGGAAATAACTTCATCTAAAAACCAAACGGAAGCATTCACAGACAATTCTTAGTGATCATTGCATTGAACTAACAGAGCTGAACATTCCTTTAGATGGCGCAGTTTCCAAACACACTTTCTGTAGAATCTGCAAGTGGATATTTGGACCTCTCTGAGGATTTCGTTGGAAACGGGATAAACTTCCCAGAACTACACGGAAGCATTCTGAGAAACTTCTTTGTGATGTTTGCATTCAACTCACCGAGTTGAACCTTGCTTTCCTAGTTCAGCTTTCAAACACTCTTTTTGTAGAATCTGCAAGTGGATATTTGGACCACTTTGTGGCCTTCCTTCGAAACGGGTATATCTTCACATCAAACCTAGACAGAAGCATTCTCAGAATGTTTCCTGTGATGACTGCATTCAACTCACAGAGGTGAACAATCCTGCTGATGGAGCAGTTTTGAAACTCTCTTTCTTTGGATTCTGCAAGTGGATATGTGGACCTCTGTGAAGATTTCGTTGGAAACGGGTTCATCTTCACAGAAAAACTAAACAGAAGCATTCTCAGAAACTGCTTTGTGATGTTTGTGTTCCACTTCAAGAATTGAACTTTCCTCTTGACAGAGCAGCTCTGAAACCCTCTTTTTCTAGAATCTGCAAGTGGACATTTGGAGGGCTTTGAGGCCTGTGGTGGAAAAGGAAAATCTTCACATAAATACTAGATGGAAGCATTCTCAGAAACTACTTTGTGATGATTGCATTCGACTCACAGAGTTGAACATTCCTATAGATAGAGCAGGTTGTAAACAATCTTTTTGTAGAATCTGCGATTGGAGATTTGGACTGCTTTGAGGCCTACTGTAGTAAAGGAAATAACTTCATCTAAAAACCAAACGGAAGCATTCACAGACAATTCTTAGTGATCATTGCATTGAACTAACAGAGCTGAACATTCCTTTAGATGGAGCAGTTTCCAAACCCACTTTCTGTAGATTCTGCAAGTGGATATTTGGACTTCTGTGAGGATTTCGTTGGAAACGGGATAAACTTCCCAGAACTACACGGAAGCATTCTGAGAAACTTCTTTGTGATGTTTGCATTCAACTCACAGAGTTGAAACTTGCTTTCATAGTTCAGCTTTCAAACACTCTTTTTGTAGAATCTGCAACTGGATATTTGGACCACTTTGTGGCCTTCCTTCGAAACGGTTATATCTTCACATCAAACCTAGACAGAAGCATTCTCAGAATGTTTCCTGTGATGACTGCATTCAACTCACAGAGGTGAACAATCCTGCTGATGGAGCAGTTTTGAAACTCTCTTTCTTTGGATTCTGCAAGTGGATATGTGGACCTCTGTGAAGATTTCGTTGGAAACGGGTTCATCTTCACAGAAAAATTAACAGGAGCATTCTCAGAAACTGCTTTGTGATGTTTGTGTTCCACTTCAGGAATTGAACTTTCCTCTTGACAGAGCAGCTCTAAAACCCTCTTATTCTAGAATCTGCAAGTGGACATTTGGAGGGCTTTGAGGCCTGTGGTGGAAAAGGAAAATCTTCACATAAAAACTAGATGGAAGCATTCTCAGAAACTACTTTGTGATGATTGCATTCGACTCACAGAGTTGAACATTCCTATAGATAGAGCAGGTTGTAAACAATCTTTTTGTAGAATCTGCGATTGGAGATTTGGACTGCTTTGAGGCCTACTGTAGTAAAGGAAATAACTTCATCTAAAAACCAAACGGAAGCATTCACAGACAATTCTTAGTGATCATTGCATTGAACTAACAGAGCTGAACATTCCTTTAGATGGCGCAGTTTCCAAACACACTTTCTGTAGAATCTGCAAGTGGATATTTGGACTTCTCTGAGGATTTCGTTGGAAACGGGATAAACTTCCCAGAACTACACGGAAGCATTCTGAAAAACTTCTTTGTGATGTTTGCATTCAACTCACAGAGTTGAACCTTGCTTTCATAGTTCAGCTTTCAAACACTCTTTTTGTAGAATCTGCAAGTGGATATTTGGACCACTTTGTGGCCTTCCTTCGAAACGGGTATATCTTCACATCAAACCTAGACAGAAGCATTCTCAGAATGTTTCCTGTGATGACTGCATTCAACTCACAGAGGTGAACAATCCTGCTGATGGAGCAGTTTTGAAACTCTCTTTCTTTGGATTCTGCAAGTGGATATGTGGACCTCTGTGAAGATTTCGTTGGAAACGTGTTCATTTTCACAGAAAAACTAAACAGGAGCATTCTCAGAAACTGCTTTGTGATGTTTGTGTTCCACTTCAGGAATTGAACTTTCCTCTTGACAGAGCAGCTCTGAAACCCTCTTATTCTAGAATCTGCAAGTGGACATTTGGAGGGCTTTGAGGCCTGTGGTGGAAAAGGAAAATCTTCACATAAAAACTAGATGGAAGCATTCTCAGAAACTACTTTGTGATGATTGCATTCAACTCACAGAGTTGAACATTCCTATAGATAGAGCAGGTTGTAAACAATCTTTTTGTAGAATCTGCGATTGGAGATTTGGACTGCTTTGAGGCCTACTGTACTAAAGGAAATAACTTCATCTAAAAACCAAACGGAAGCATTCACAGACAATTCTTAGTGATCATTGGATTGAACTAACAGAGCTGAACATTCCTTTAGATGGAGCAGTTTCCAAACCCACTTTCTGTAGAATCTGCAAGTGGATATTTGGACTTCTCTGAGGATTTCGTTGGAAACGGGATAAACTTCCCAGAACTACACGGAACCATTCTGAGAAACTTCTTTGTGATGTTTGCATTCAACTCACAGAGTTGAACCTTGCTTTCATAGTTCAGCTTTCAAACACTCTTTTTGTAAAATCTGCAAGTGGATATTTTGACCAATTTGTGGCCTTCCTTCGAAACGGGTATATCTTCACATCAAACCTAGACAGAAGCATTCTCAGAATGTTTCCTGTGATGACTGCATTCAACTCACAGAGGTGAACAATCCTGCTGATGGAGCAGTTTTGAAACTCTCTTTCTTTGGATTCTGCAGGTGGATATGTGGACCTTTGTGAAGATTTCGTTGGAAATGGGTTCATCTTCACAGAAAAACTAAACAGGAGCATTCCCAGAAACTGCTTTGTGATGTTTGTGTTCCACTTCAGGAATTGAACTTTCCTCTTGACAGAGCAGCTCTGAAACCCTCTTTTTCTAGAATCTGCAAGTGGACATTTGGAGGGCTTTTAGGCCTGTGGTGGAAAAGGAAAATCTTCACATAAAAACTAGATGGAAGCATTCTCAGAAACTACTTTGTGATGATTGCATTCGACTCACAGAGTTGTACATTCCTATAGATAGAGCAGGTTGAAAACAATCTTTTTGTAGAATCTGCGATTGGAGATTTGGACTGCTTTGTGGCCTACTGTAGTAAAGGAAATAACTTCATCTAAAAACCAAACGGAAGCATTCACAGACAATTCTTAGTGATCATTGGATTGAACTAACAGAGCTGAACACTCCTTTAGATGGAGCAGTTTCCAAACACACTTTCTGTAGAATCTGCAAGTGGATATTTGGACTTGTCTGAGGATTTCGTTGGAAACGGGATAAACTTCCCAGAACTACACGGAAGCATTCTCAGAAACTTCTTTGTGATGTTTGCATTCAACTCACAGAGTTGAACCTTGCTTTCATAGTTCAGCTTTCAAACACTCTTTTTGCAGAATCTGCAAGTGGATATTTGGACCACTTTTTGGCCTTCCTTCGAAACGGGTATATCTTCACATCAAACCTAGACAGAAGCATTCTCAGAATGTTTCCTGTGATGACTGCATTCAACGCACAGAGGTGAACAATCCTGCTGATGGAGCAGTTTTGAAACTCTCTTTCTTTGGAATCTGCAAGTGGATATGTGGACCTCTTTGAAGATTTCGTTGGAAACGGGTTCATCTTCACATAAAAACTAAACAGAAGCATTCTCAGAAACTGCTTTGTGATGTTTGTGTTCCACTTCAGGAATTGAACTTTCCTCTTGACAGAGCAGCTCTGAAACCCTCTTATTCTAGAATCTGCAAGTGGACATTTGGAGGGCTTTGAGGCCTGTGGTGGAAAAGGAAAATCTTCACATAAAAACTACATGGAAGCATTCTCAGAAACTACTTTGTGATGATTGCATTCGACTCACAGAGTTGAACATTCCTATAGATAGAGCAGGTTGTAAACAATCTTTTTGTAGAATCTGCGATTGGAGATTTGGACTGCTTTGAGGCCTACTGTAGTAAAGGAAATAACTTCATCTAAAAACCAAACGGAAGCATTCACAGACAATTCTTAGTGATCATTGCATTGAACTAACAGAGCTGAACATTCCTTTAGATGGAGCAGTTTCCAAACACACTTTCTGTAGAATCTGCAAGTGGATATTTGGACTTCTCTGAGGATTTCGTTGGAAACGGGATAAACTTCCCAGAACTACACGGAAGCATTCTGAGAAACTTCTTTGTGATGTTTGCATTCAACTCACAGAGTTGAACCTTGCTTTCATAGTTCAGCTTTCAAACACTCTTTTTGTAGAATCTGCAAGTGGATATTTGGACCATTTTGAGGCCTTCCTTCGAAACGGGTATATCTTCACATCAAACCTAGACAGAAGCATTCTCAGAATGTTTCCTGTGATGACTGCATTCAACTCACAGAGGTGAACAATCCTGCTGATGGAGCAGTTTTGAAACTCTCTTTCTTTGGATTCTGCAGGTGGATATGTGGACCTCTGTGAAGATTTCGTTGGAAACGGGTTCATCTTCACAGAAAAACTAAACAGGAGCATTCTCAGAAACTGCTTTGTGATGTTTGTGTTCCACTTCAAGAATTGAACTTTCCTCTTGACAGAGCAGCTCTGAAACCCTCTTTTTCTAGAATCTGCAAGTGGACATTTGGAGGGCTTTGAGGCCTGTGGTGGAAAAGGAAAATCTTCACATAAAAACTAGATGGAAGCATTCTCAGAAACTACTTTGTGATGATTGCATTCGACTCACAGAGTTGAACATTCCTATAGATAGAGCAGGTTGTAAACAGTCTTTTTGTAGAATCTGTGATTGGAGATTTGGACTGCTTTGAGGCCTACTGTAGTAAAGGAAATAACTTCATCTAAAAACCAAACGGAAGCATTCACAGACAATTCTTAGTGATCATTGGATTGAACTAACAGAGCTGAACACTCCTTTAGATGGCGCTGTTTCCAAACACACTTTCTGTAGAATCTGCAAGTGGATATTTGGACTTCTCTGAGGATTTCGTTGGAAACGGGATAAACTTCCCAGAACTACACGGAAGCATTCTGAGAAACTTCTTTGTGATGTTTGCTTTCAACTCAGAGAGTTGAACCTTGCTTTCATAGTTCAGCTTTCAAACCCTCTTTTTGTAGAATCTGCAAGTGGATATTTGGACCACTTTGTGGCCTTCCTTCGAAACGGGTATATCTTCACATCAAATCTAGACAGAAGCATTCTCAGAATGTTTCCTGTGATGACTGCATTCAACTCACAGAGGTGAACAATCCTGCTGATGGAGCAGTTTTGAAACTCTCTTTCTTTGGATTCTGCAGGTGGATATGTGGACCTCTGTGAAGATTTCGTTGGAAACGGGTTCATCTTCACAGAAAAAATTACAGGAGCATTCTCAGAAACTGCTTTGTGATGTTTGTGTTCCACTTCAGGAAATGAACTTTCCTCTTGACAGAGCAGCTCTGAAACCCTCTTTTTCTAGAATCTGCAAGTGGACATTTGGAGGGCTTTGAGGCCTGTGGTGGAAAAGGAAAATCTTCACATAAAACTAGATGGAAGCATTCTCAGAAACTGCTTTGTGATGATTGCATTCGACTCACAGAGTTGAACATTCCTATAGATTGAGCAGGTTGAAAACAATCTTTTTGTAGAATCTGCGATTGGAGATTTGGACTGCTTTGAGGCCTACTGTAGTAAAGGAAATAACTTCATCTAAAAACCAAACGGAAGCATTCACAGACAATACTTAGTGATCATTGGATTGAACAAACAGAGCTGAACATTCCTTTAGATAGAGCAGTTTACAAACACACTTTCTGTAGAATCTGCAAGTGGATATTTGGACTTCTGTGAGGATTTCGTTGGAAACGGGATAAACTTCCCAGAACTACACGGAAGCATTCTGAGAAACTTCTTTGTGATGTTTGCATTCAACTCACAGAGTTGAACCTTGCTTTCATAGTTCAGTTTTCATACACTCTTTTTGTAGAATCTGCAAGTGGATATTTGGACCACTTTGTGGCCTTCCTTCGAAACGGGTATATCTTCACATCAAACCTAGACAGAAGCATTCTCAGAATGTTTCCTGTGATGACTGCATTCAACTCACAGAGGTGAACAATCCTGCTGATGGAGCAGTTTTGAAACTCTCTTTCTTTGGATTCTGCAAGTGGATATGTGGACCTCTGTGAAGATTTCGTTGGAAACGGGTTCATCTTCACAGAAAAACTAAACAGAAGCATTCTCAGAAACTGCTTTGTGATGTTTGTGTTCCACTTCAGGAATTGAACTTTCCTCTTGATAGAGCAGCTCTGAAACCCTCTTTTTCTAGGATCTGCAAGTGGACATTTGGAGGGCTTTGAGGCCTGTGGTGGGAAAGGAAAATCTTCACATAAAAACTAGATGGAAGCATTCTCAGAAACTACTTTGTGATGATTGCATTCGACTCACAGAGTTGAACATTCCTATAGATAGAGCAGGTTGTAAACAATCTTTTTGTAGAATCTGCGATTGGAGATTTGGACTGCTTTGAGGCCTACTGTAGTAAAGGAAATAACTTCATCTAAAAACCAAACGGAAGCATTCACAGACAATTCTTAGTGATCATTGGATTGAACTAACAGAGCTGAACATTCCTTTAGATGGAGCAGTTTCCAAACACACTTTCTGTAGAATCTGCAAGTGGATATTTGGACCTCTCTGAGGATTTCGTTGGAAACGGGATAAACTTCCCAGAACTACACGGAAGCATTCTGAGAAACTTCTTTGTGATGTTTGCATTCAACTCACAGAGTTGAACCTTGCTTTCATAGTTCAGCTTTCAAACACTCTTTTTGTAGAATCTGCAAGTGGATATTTGGACCACTTTGTGGCCTTCCTTCGAAACGGGTATATCTTCACATCAAACCTAGACAGAAGCATTCTCAGAATGTTTCCTGTGATGACTGCATTCAACTCACAGAGGTGAACAATCCTGTTGATGGAGCACTTTTGAAACTCTCTTTCTTTGGATTCCGCAAGTTGATATGTGGACCTCTGTGAAGATTTCGTTGGAAACGGGTTCATCTTCACAGAAAAACTAAACCGAAGCATTCTCAGTAAACTGCTTTGTGATGTTTGTGTTCCACTTCAAGAATTGAACTTTCCTCTCGACAGAGCAGCTCTGAAACCCTCTTTTTCTAGAATCTGCAAGTGGACATTTGGAGGGCTTTGAGGCCTGTGGTGGAAAAGGAAAATCTTCACATAAAAACTAGATGGAAGCATTCTCAGAAACTACTTTGTGATGATTGCATTCGACTCACAGAGTTCAACATTCCTATAGGGAGAGCAGGTTGTAAACAATCTTTTTGTAGAATCTGCGATTGGAGATTTGGACTGCTTTGAGGCCTACTGTTGTAAAGGAAATAACTTCATCGAAAAACCAAACGGAAGCATTCACAGACAATTCTTAGTGATCATTGGATTGAAGTAACAGAGCTGAACACTCCTTTAGATGGAGCAGTTTCCAAACACACTTTCTGTAGAATCTGCAAGTGGATATTTGGACTTCTCTGAGGATTTCGTTGGAAACGGGATAAACTTCCCAGAACTACACGGAAGCATGCTGAGAAACTTCTTTGTGATGTTTGCATTCAACTCACAGAGTTGAACCTTGCTTTCATAGTTCAGCTTTCAAACACTCTTTTTGTAGAATCTGCAAGTGGATATTTGGACCACTTTGTGGCCTTCCTTCGAAACGGGTATATCTTCACATCAAACCTAGACAGAAGCATTCTCAGAATGTTTCCTGTGATGACTGCATTCAACTCACAGAGGTGAACAATCCTGTTGATGGAGCACTTTTGAAACTCTCTTTCTTTGGATTCTGCAAGTTGATATGTGGACCTCTGAGAACATTTCGTTGGAAACGGGTTCATCTTCACAGAAAAACTAAACAGAAGCATTCTCAGAAACTGCTTTGTGATATTTGTGTTCCACTTCAAGAATTGAACTTTCCTCTTGACAGAGCAGCTCTGAAACCCTCTTATTCTAGAATCTGCAAGTGGACATTTGGAGGGCTTTGAGGCCTGTGGTGGAAAAGGAAAATCTTCACATAAAAACTAGATGGAAGCATTCTCAGAAACTACTTTGTGATGATTGCATTCGACTCACAGAGTTGAACATTCCTATAGATAGTGCAGGTTGTAAACAATCTTTTTGTAGAATCTGCGATTGGAGATTTGGACTGCTTTGAGGCCTACTGTAGTAAAGGAAAGAACTTCATCTAAAAACCAAACGGAAGCATTCACAGACAATTCTTAGTGATCATTGCATTGAACTAACAGAGCTGAACATTCCTTTAGATGGCGCAGTTTCCAAACACACTTTCTGTAGAATCTGCAAGTGGATATTTGGACCTCTCTGAGGATTTCGTTGGAAACGGGATAAACTTCCCAGAACTACACGGAAGCATTCTGAGAAACTTCTTTGTGATGTTTGCATTCAACTCACAGAGTTGAACCTTGCTTTCATAGTTCTGCTTTCAAACACTCTTTTTGTAGAATCTGCAAGTGGATATTTGGACCACTTTGTGGCCTTCCTTCGAAACGGGTATATCTTCACATCAAACCTAGACAGAAGCATTCTCAGAATGTTTCCTGTGATGACTGCATTCAACTCACAGAGGTGAACAATCCTGCTGATGGAGCAGTTTTGAAACTCTCTTTCTTTGGATTCTGCAAGTGGATATGTGGACCTCTGTGAAGATTTCGTTGGAAACGGGTTCATCTTCACAGAAAAACTAAACAGAAGCATTCTCAGAAACTGCTTTGTGATGTTTGTGTTCCACTTCAAGAATTGAACTTTCCTCTTGACAGAGCAGCTCTGAAACCCTCTTTTTCTAGAATCTGCAAGTGGACATTTGGAGGGCTTTGAGGCCTGTGGTGCAAAAGGAAAATCTTCACATAAAAACTAGATGGAAGCATTCTCAGAAACTACTTTGTGATGATTGCATTCGACTCACAGAGTTGAACATTCCTATAGATAGAGCAGGTTGTAAACAATCTTTTTGTAGAATCTGCGATTGGAGATTTGGACTGCTTTGAGGCCTACTGTAGTAAAGGAAATAACTTCATCTAAAAACCAAACGGAAGCATTCACAGACAATTCTTAGTGATCATTGGATTGAACTAACAGAGCTGAACATTCCTTTAGATGGAGCAGTTTCCAAACCCACTTTATGTAGAATCTGCAAGTGGATATTTGGACTTCTCTGAGGATTTCGTTGGAAACGGGATATGCTTCCCAGAACTACAGGGAAGCATGCTGAGAAACTTCTTTGTGATGTTTGCATTCAACTCACAGAGTTGAACCTTGCTTTCATAGTTCAGCTTTCAGACACTCTTTTTGTGGAATCTGCAAGTGGATATTTGGACCACTTTGTGGCCTTCCTTCGAAACGGGTATATCTTCACATCAAACCTAGACAGAAGCATTCTCAGAATGCTTCCTGTGATGACTGCATTCAACTCACAGAGGTGAACAATCCTGCTGATGGAGCAGTTTTGAAACTCTCTTTCTTTGGATTCTGCAAGTGGATATGTGGACCTCTGTGAAGATTTCGTTGGAAACGGGTTCATCTTCACAGAAAAACTAAAAGGAGCATTCTCAGAAACTGCTTTGTGATGTTTGTGTTCCACTTCAAGAATTGAACTTTCCTCTTGACAGCAGCTCTGAAACCCTCTTTTTCTAGAATCTGCAAGTGGACATTTGGAGGGCTTTGAGGCCTGTGGTGCAAAAGGAAAATCTTCACATAAAAACTAGATGGAAGCATTCTCAGAAACTACTTTGTGATGATTGCATTCGACTCACAGAGTTGAACATTCCTATAGATAGAGCAGGTTGTAAACAATCTTTTTGTAGAATCTGCGATTGGAGATTTGGACTGCATTGAGGCCTACTGTAGTAAAGGAAATAACTCATCTAAAAACCAAACGGAAGCATTCACAGACAATACTTAGTGATCATTGCATTGAACTAACAGAGCTGAACATTCCTGTAGATGGCGCAGTTTCCAAACACACTTTCTGTAGAATCTGCAAGTGGATATTTGGACGTCTCTGAGGATTTCGTTGGAAACGGGATAAACTTCCCAGAACTACACGGAAAGCATTCTGAGAAACTTCTTTGTGATGTTTGCATTCAACTCACAGGATTTGCACCTTGCTTTCATAGTTCAGCTTTCAAACACTCTTTTTGTAGAATCTGCAAGTGGATATTTGGACCACTTTGTGGCCTTCCTTCGAAAAGGGTATATCTTCACATCAAACCTAGACAGAAGCATTCTCAGAATGTTTCCTGTGATGACTGCATTCAACTCACAGAGGTGAACAATCCTGCTGATGGAGCAGTTTTGAAACTCTCTTTCTTTGGATTCTGCAAGTGGATATGTGGACCTCTGTGAAGATTTCGTTGGAAACGGGTTCATCTTCACAGAAAAAGTAAACAGGAGCATTCTCAGAAACTGCTTTGTGATGTTTGTGTTCCACTTCAGGAATTGAACTTTCCTCTTGACAGAGCAGCTCTGAAACCCTCTTTTTCTAGAATCTGCAAGTGGACATTTGGAGGGCTTTGAGGCCTGTGGTGGAAAAGGAAAATCTTCACATAAAAACTAGATGGAAGCATTCTCAGAAACTACTTTGTGATGATTGCATTCGACTCACAGAGTTGAACATTCCTATAGATAGAGCAGGTTGTAAACAATGTTTTTGTAGAATCTGCGATTGGAGATTTGGACTGCTTTGAGGCCTACTGTAGTAAAGGAAATAACTTCATCTAAAAACCAAACGGAAGCATTCACAGACAATTCTTAGTGATCATTGCATTGAACTAACAGAGCTGAACATTCCTTTAGATGGCGCAGTTTCCAAACACACTTTCTGTAGAATCTGCAAGTGGATATTTGGACCTCTCTGAGGATTTCGTTGGAAACGGGATAAAATTCCCAGAACTACACGGAAGCATTGTGAGAAACTTCTTTGTGATGTTTGCATTCAACTCACAGAGTTGAACCTTGCTTTCATAGTTCAGCTTTCAAACACTCTTTTTGTAGAATCTGCAAGTGGATATTTGGACCACTTTGTGGCCTTCCTTCGAAACGGGTATATCTTCACATCAAACCTAGACAGAAGCATTCTCAGAATGTTTCCTGTGATGACTGCATTCAACTCACAGAGGTGAACAATCCTGTTGATGGAGCAGTTTTGAATCTCTCTTTCTTTGGATTCTGCAAGTGGATATGTGGACCTCTGTGAAGATTTCGTTGGAAACGGGTTCATTTTCACAGAAAAACTAAACAGAAGCATTCTCAGAAACTGCTTTGTGATGTTTGTGTTCCACTTCAGGAATTGAACTTTCCTCTTGACAGAGCAGCTCTGCAACCCTCTTATTCTAGAATCTGCAAGTGGACATTTGGAGGTCTTTGAGGCCTGTGGTGGAAAAGGAAAATCTTCACATAAAAACTAGATGGAAGCATTCTCAGAAACTACTCTGTGATGATTGCATTCGACTCACAGAGTTGAACACTCCTATAGATAGAGCAGGTTGTAAACAATCTTTTTGTAGAATCTGCGATTGGAGATTTGGACTGCTTTGAGGCCTACTGTAGTAAAGGAAATAACTTCATCTAAAAACCAAACGGAAGCATTCACAGACAATTCTTAGTGATCATTGGATTGAACTAACAGAGCTGAACATTCCTTTAGATGGAGCAGTTTCCAAACACACTTTCTGTAGAATCTGCAAGTGGATATTTGGACTTCTCTGAGGATTTCGTTGGAAACGGGATAAAATTCCCAGAACTACACGGAAGCATTGTGAGAAACTTCTCTGTGATGTTTGCATTCAACTCACAGAGTTGAACCTTGCTTTCATAGTTCAGCTTTCAAACACTCTTTTTGTGGAATCTGCAAGTGGATATTTGGACCACTTTGTGGCCTTCCTTCGAAACGGGTATATCTTCACATCAAACCTAGACAGAAGCATTCTCAGAATGTTTCCTGTGATGACTGCATTCAACTCACAGAGGTGAACAATCCTGTTCATGGAGCACTTTTGAAACTCTCTTTCTTTGGATTCTGCAAGTTGATATGTGGACCTCTGTGAAGATTTCGTTGGAAACGGGTTCATCTTCACAGAAAAACTAAACAGAAGCATTCTCAGAAACTGCTTTGTGATGTTTGTGTTCCACTTCAAGAATTGAACTTTCCTTTTGACAGAGCAGCTCTGAAACCCTCTTTTTCTAGAATCTGCAAGTGGAGATTTGGAGGGCTTTGAGGCCTGTGGTGGAAAAGGAAAATCTTCACATAAAAACTAGATGGAAGCATTCTCAGAAACTACTTTGTGATGATTGCATTCGACTCACAGAGTTGAACATTCCTATAGATAGAGCAGGTTGTAAACAATCTTTTTGTAGAATCTGCGACTGGAGATTTGGACTGCTTTGAGGCCTACTGTAGTAAAGGAAATAACTTCATCTAAAAACCAAACGGAAGCATTCACAGACAATTCTTAGTGATCATTGGATTGAACTAACAGAGCTGAACATTCCTTTAGGTGGAGCAGTTTCCAAACACACTTTCTGTAGAATCTGCAAGTGGATATTTGGACTTCTCTGAGGATTTCGTTGGAAAAGGATAAACTTCCCAGAACTACACGGAAGCATTCTGAGAAACTTCCTTGTCATGTTTGCATTCAACTCACAGAGTTGAACCTTGCTTTCATAGTTCAGCTTTCAAACACTCTTTTTGTAGAATCTGCAAGTGGATATTTGGACCACTTTGTGGCCTTCCTTCGAAACGGGTATATCTTCACATCAAACCTAGACAGAAGCATTCTCAGAATGTTTCCTGTGATGACTGCATTCAACTCACAGAGGTGAACAATCCTGCTGATGGAGCAGTTTTGAAACTCTCTTTCTTTGGATTCTGCAAGTGGATATGTGGACCTCTGTGAAGATTTCGTTGGAAACGGGTTCATCTTCACAGAAAAACTAAACAGAAGCATTCTCAGAAACTGCTTTGTGATGTTTGTGTTCCACTTCAAGAATTGAAATTTCCTCTTGACAGAGCAGCTCTGAAACCCTCTTTTTCTAGAATCTGCAAGTGGACATTTGGAGGGCTTTGAGGCCTGTGGTGGAAAAGGAAAATCTTCACATAAAAACTGGATGGAAGCATTCTCAGAAACTACTTTGTGATGATTGCATTCGACTCACAGAGTTGAACATTCCTATAGATAGAGCAGGTTGTAAACAATCTTTTTGTAGAATCTGCGATTGGAGATTTGGACTGCTTTGAGGCCTACTGTAGTAAAGGAAATAACTTCATCTAAAAACCAAACGGAAGCATTCACAGACAATTCTTAGTGATCATTGCATTGAACTAACAGAGCTGAACATTCCTTTAGATGGCGCAGTTTCCAAACACACTTTCTGTAGAATCTGCAAGTGGATATTTGGACCTCTCTGAGGATTTCGTTGGAAACGGGATAAACTTCCCAGAACTACACGGAAGCATTCTGAGAAACTTCTTTGTGATGTTTGCATTCAACTCACAGAGTTGAACCTTGCTTTCATAGTTCAGCTTTCAAACACTCTTTTTGTAGAATCTGCAAGTGGATATTTGGACCACTTTGTGGCCTTCCTTCGAAACGGGTATATCTTCACATCAAACCTAGACAGAAGCATTCTCAGAATGTTTCCTGTGATGACTGCATTCAACTCACAGAGGTGAACAATCCTGCTGATGGAGCAGTTTTGAAACTCTCTTTCTTTGGATTCTGCAAGTGGATATGTGGACCTCTGTGAAGATTTCGTTGGAAACGGGTTCATCTTCACAGAAAAACTAAACAGAAGCATTCTCAGAAACTGCTTTGTGATGTTTGTGTTCCACTTCAAGAATTGAACTTTCCTCTTGACAGAGCAGCTCTGAAACCCTCTTTTTCTAGAATCTGCAAGTGGACATTTGGAGGGCTTTGAGGCCTGTGGTGGAAAAGGAAAATCTTCACATAAAAACTTTATGGGAAGCATTCTCAGAAACTACTTTGTGATGATTGCATTCGACTCACAGAGTTGAACATTCCTATAGATAGAGCGGGTTGTAAACAATCTTTTAGTAGAATCTGCGATTGGAGATTTGGACTGCTTTGAGGCCTACTGTAGTAAAGGAAATAACTTCATCTAAAAACCAAACGGAAGCATTCACAGACAATTCTTAGTGATCATTGGATTGAACTAACAGAGCTGAACATTCCTTTAGATGGAGCAGTTTCCAAACCCACTTTCTGTAGAATCTGCAAGTGGATATTTGGACTTCTCTGAGGATTTCGTTGGAAACGGGATAAACTTCCCAGAACTACAGGGAAGCATTCTGAGAAACTTCTTTGTGATGTTTGCATTCAACTCACAGAGTTGAACCTTGCTTTCATAGGTCAGCTTTCAAACACTCTTTTTGTAAAATCTGCAAGAGGATATTTGGACCAGTTTGTGGCCTTCCTTCGAAACGGGTATATCTTCATATCAAACCTAGACAGAAGCATTCTCAGAATGTTTCCTGTGATGACTGCATTCAACTCACAGAGGTGAACAATCCTGCTGATGGAGCAGTTTTGAAACTCTCTTTCTTTGGATTCTGCAAGTGGATATGTGGACCTCTGTGAAGATTTCGTTGGAAACGGGTTCATCTTCACAGAAAAACTAAACAGGAGCATTCTCAGAAACTGCTTTGTGATGTTTGTGTTCCACTTCAAGAATTGAACTTTCCTCTTGACAGAGCAGCTCTGAAACCCTCTTTTTCTAGAATCTGCAAGTGGACATTTGGAGGGCTTTGAGGCCTGTGGTGGAAAAGGAAAATCTTCACATAAAAACTAGATGGAAGCATTCTCAGAAACTACTTTGTGATGATTGCATTCGACTCACAGAGTTGAACATTCCTATAGATAGAGCAGGTTGTAAACAATCTTTTTGTAGAATCTGCGATTGGACATTTGGACTGCTTTGAGGCCTACTGTAGTAAAGGAAATAACTTCATCTAAAAACCAAACGGAAGCATTCACAGACAATTCTTAGTGATCATTGGATTGAACTAACAGAGCTGAACATTCCTTTAGATGGAGCAGTTTCCAAACCCACTTTCTGTAGAATCTGCAAGTGGATATTTGGACTTCTCTGAGGATTTCGTTGGAAACGGGATAAACTTCCCAGAACTACACGGAAGCATTGTGAGAAACTTCTTTGTGATGTTTGCATTCAACTCACAGAGTTGAACCTTGCTTTCATAGTTCAGCTTTCAAACACTCTTTTTGTAAAATCTGCAAGTGGATATTTGGACCACTTTGTGGCCTTCCTTCGAAACGGGTATATCTTCACATCAAACCTAGACTGAAGCATTCTCAGAATGTTTCCTGTGATGACTGCATTCAACTCACAGAGGTGAACAATCCTGCTGATGGAGCAGTTTTGAAACTCTCTTTCTTTGGATTCTGCAAGTGGATATGTGGACCTCTGTGAAGATTTCGTTGGAAACGGGTTCATCTTCACAGAAAAACTAAACAGAAGCATTCTCAGAAACTGCTTTGTGATATTTGTGTTCCACTTCAAGAATTGAACTTTCCTCTTGACAGAGCAGCTCTGAAACCCTCTTATTCTAGAATCTGCAAGTGGACATTTGGAGGGATTTGAGGCCTGTGGTGGAAAAGGAAAATCTTCACATAAAAACTAGATGGAAGCATTCTCAGAAACTACTTTGTGATGATTGCATTCGACTCACAGAGTTGAACATTCCTATAGATAGATCAGGTTGTAAACAATCTTTTTGTAGAATCTGCGATTGGAGATTTGGACTGCTTTGAGGCCTACTGTAGTAAAGGAAATAACTTCATCTAAAAACCAAACGGAAGCATTCACAGACAATTCTTAGTGATCATTGGATTGAACTAACAGAGCTGAACATTCCTTTAGATGGAGCAGTTTCCAAACACACTTTCTGTAGAATCTGCAAGTGGATATTTGGACTTCTCTGAGGATTTCGTTGGAAACGGGATAAACTTCCCAGAACTACACGGAAGCATTGTGAGAAACTTCTTTGTGATGTTTGCATTCAACTCACAGAGTTGAACCTTGCTTTCATAGTTCAGCTTTCAAACACTCTTTTTGTAGAATCTGCAAGTGGATATTTGGACCACTTTGTGGCCTTCCTTCGAAACGGGTATATCTTCACATCAAACCTAGACAGAAGCATTCTCAGAATGTTTCCTGTGATGACTGCATTCAACTCACAGAGGTGAACAATCCTATTGATGGAGCAGTTTTGAAACTCTCTTTCTTTGGATTCTGCAAGTGGATATGTGGACCTACTGTGAAGATTTCGTTGGAAACGGGTTCAACTGCACAGAAAAACTAAACAGGAAGCATTCTCAGAAACTGCTTTGTGATGTTTGTGTTCCACTTCAAGAATTGCACTTTCCTCTTGACAGAGCAGCTCTGAAACCCTCTTTTTCCAGAATCTGCAAGTGGACATTTGGAGGGCTTTGAGGCCTGTGGTGGAAAAGGAAAATCTTCACATAAGAACTAGATGGAATCATTCTCAGAAACTACTTTGTGATGATTGCATTCGACTCAAAGAGTTGAACATTCCTATAGATAGAGCAGGTTGTAAACCATCTTTTTGTAGAATATGCGATTGGAGATTTGGACTGCTTTGAGGCCTACTGTAGTAAAGGAAATAACTTCATCTAAAAACCAAACGGAAGCATTCACAGACAATTCTTAGTGATCATTGGATTGAACTAACAGAGCTGAACATTCCTTTAGATGGAGGAGTTTCCAAACACACTTTCTGTAGAATCTGCAAGTGGATATTTGGACCTCTCTGAGGATTTCGTTGGAAACGGGATAAAGTTCCCAGAACTACACGGAAGCATTCTGAGAAACTTCTTTGTGATGTTTGCATTCAACTCACAGAGTTGAACCTTGCTTTCATAGTTCAGCTTTCAAACACTCTTTTTGTAGAATCTGCAAGTGGATATTTGGACCACTTTGTGGCCTTCCTTCGAAACGGGTATATCTTCACATCAAACCTAGACAGAAGCATTCTCAGAATGTTTCCTGTGATGACTGCATTCAACTCACAGAGGTGAACAATCCTGTTGATGGAGCACTTTTGAAACTCTCTTTCTTTGGATTCTGCAAGTGGATATGTGGATCTCTGTGAAGATTTCGTTGGAAACGGGTCCATCTTCACAGAAAAACTAAACAGGAGCATTCTCAGAAACTGCTTTGTGATGTTTGTGTTCCTCTTCAAGAATTGAACTTTCCTCTTGACAGAGCAGCTCTGAAACCCTCTTTTTCTAGAATCTGCAAGTGGACATTTGGAGGGCTTTGAGGCCTGTGGTGGAAAAGGAAAATCTTCACATAAAAACTAGATGGAAGCATTCTCAGAAACTACTTTGTGATGATTGCATTCGACTCACAGAGTTGAACATTCCTATAGATAGAGCAGGTTGTAAACAATCTTTTTGTAGAATCTGCGATTGGAGATTTGGACTGCTTTGAGGCCTACTGTAGTAAAGGAAATAACTTCATCTAAAAACCAAACGGAAGCATTCACAGACAATTCTTAGTGATCATTGGATTGAACTAACAGAGCTGAACATTCCTTTAGATGGAGCAGTTTCCAAACACACTTTCTGTAGAATCTGCAACTGGATATTTGGACTTCTCTGAGGATTTCGTTGGAAACGGGATAAACTTCCCAGAACTACACGGAAGCATTCTGAGAAACTTCTTTGTGATGTTTGCATTCAACTCACAGAGTTGAACCTTGCTTTGATAGTTCAGCTTTCAAACACTCTTTTTGTAGAATCTGCAAGTGGATATGTGGACCACTTTGTGGCCTTCCTTCGAAACGGGTATATCTTCACATCAAACCTAGACAGAAGCATTCTCAGAATGTTTCCTGTGATGACTGCATTCAACTCACAGAGGTGAACAATCCTGCTGATGGAGCAGTTTTGAAACTCTCTTTCTTTGGATTCTGCAAGTGGATATGTGGACCTCTGTGAAGATTTCGTTGGAAACGGGTTCATCTTCACAGAAAAACTAAACAGGAGCATTCTCAGAAACTGCTTTGTGATGTTTGTGTTCCACTTCAGGAATTGAACTTTCCTCTTGACAGAGCAGCTCTGAAATCCTCTTATTCTAGAATCTGCAACTGGACATTTGGAGGGCTTTGAGGCCTGTGGTGGAAAAGGAAAATCTTCACATAAAAACTAGATGGAAGCATTCTCAGAAACTACTTTGTGATGATTGCATTCGACTCACAGAGTTGAACATTCCTATAGATAGAGCAGGTTGTAAACAATCTTTTTGTAGAATCTGCGATTGGAGATTTGGACTGCTTTGAGGCCTACTGTAGTAAAGGAAATAACTTCATCTAAAAACCAAACGGAAGCATTCACAGACAATTCTTAGTGATCATTGGATTGAACTAACAGAGCTGAACATTCCTTTAGATGGCGCAGTTTCCAAACACACTTTCTGTAGCATCTGCAAGTGGATATTTGGACCTCTCTGAGGATTTCGTTGGAAACGGGATAAGCTTCCCAGAACTACACGGAAGCATTCTGAGAAACTTCTTTGTGATGTTTGCATTCAACTCACAGAGTTGAACCTTGCTTTCATAGTTCAGCTTTCAAACACTCTTTTTGTAGAATCTGCAAGTGGATATTTGGACCACTTTGTGGCCTTCCTTCGAAACGGGTATATCTTCACATCAAACCTAGACAGAAGCATTCTCAGAATGTTTCCTGTGATGACTGCATTCAACTCACAGAGGTGAACAATCCTGCTGATGGAGCAGTTTTGAAACTCTCTTTCTTTGGATTCTGCAAGTGGATATGTGGACCTCTGTGAAGATTTCGTTGGAAACGGGTTCATCTTCACAGAAAAACTAAACAGGAGCATTCTCAGAAACTGCTTTGTGATGTTTGTGTTCCACTTCAGGAATTGAACTTTCCTGTTGACAGAGCAGCTCTGAAACCCTCTTTTTCTAGAATCTGCAAGTGGACATTTGGAGGGCTTTGAGGCCTGTGGTGGAAAAGGAAAATCTTCACATAAAAACTAGATGGAAGCATTCTCAGAAACTACTTTGTGATGATTGCATTCGACTCACAGAGTTGAACATTCCTATAGATAGAGCAGGTTGTAAACAATCTTTTTGTAGAATCTGCGATTGGAGATTTGGACTGCTTTGAGGCCTACTGTAGTAAAGGAAATAACTTCATCTAAAAACCAAACGGAAGCATTCACAGACAATTCTTAGTGATCATTACATTGAACTAACAGAGCTGAACATTCCTTTAGATGGAGCAGTTTCCAAACACACTTTCTGTAGAATCTGCAAGTGGATAT
Source organism: Homo sapiens (assembly GCF_000001405.40). Lineage (NCBI taxonomy): Eukaryota > Metazoa > Chordata > Mammalia > Primates > Hominidae > Homo > Homo sapiens. Next base: position 53,656,538 of record NC_000011.10, read on the forward strand.
TTGGACCTCTCTGAGGATTTCGTTGGAAACGGGATAAACTTCCCAGAACTACACGGAAGCATTCTGAGAAACTTCTTTGTGATGTTTGCATTCAACTCACAGAGTTGAACCTTGCTTTCATCGTTCAGCTTTCAAACACTGTTTTTGTAGAATCTGCAAGTGGATATTTGGACCACTTTGTGGCCTTCCTTCGAAAGGGGTATATCTTCACATCAAACCTAGACAGAAGCATTCTCAGAATGTTTCCTGTGATGACTGCATTCAACTCACAGAGGTGAACAATCCTGCTGATGGAGCAGTTTTGAAACTCTCTTTCTTTGGATTCTGCAAGTGGATATGTGGACCTCTGTGAAGATTTCGTTGGAAACGGGTTCATCTTCACAGAAAAACTAAACAGGAGCATTCTCAGAAACTGCTTTGTGATGTTTGTGTTCCACTTCAGGAATTGAACTTTCCTCTTGACAGAGCAGCTCTGAAACCCTCTTTTTCTAGAATCTGCAAGTGGACATTTGGAGGGCTTTGAGGCCTGTGGTGGAAAAGGAAAATCTTCACATAAAAACTAGATGGAAGCATTCTCAGAAACTACTTTGTGATGATTGCATTCGACTCACAGAGTTGAACATTCCTATAGATAGAGCAGGTTGTAAACAATCTTTTTGTAGAATCTGCGATTGGAGATTTGGACTGCTTTGAGGCCTACTGTAGTAAAGGAAATAACTTCATCTAAAAACCAAACGGAAGCATTCACAGACAATTCTTAATGATCATTGCATTGAACTAACAGAGCTGAACATTCCTTTAGATGGCGCAGTTTCCAAACACACTTCCTGTAGAATCTGCAAGTGGATATTTGGACCTCTCTGAGGATTTCGTTGGAAACGGGATAAAATTCCCAGAACTACACGGAAGCATTGTGAGAAACTTCTTTGTGATGTTTGCATTCAACTCACAGAGTTGAACCTTGCTTTCATAGTTCAGCTTTCAAACACTCTTTTTGTAGAATCTGCAAGTGGATATTTGAACCACTTTGTGGCCTTCCTTCGAAACGGGTATATCTTCACATCAAACCTAGACAGAAGCATTCTCAGAATGTTTCCTGTGATGACTGCATTCAACTCACAGAGGTGAACAATCCTGCTGATGGAGCAGTTTTGAAACTCTCCTTCTTTGGATTCTGCAAGTGGATATGTGGACCTCTGTGAAGATTTTCGTTGGAAACGGGTTCATCTTCACAGAAAAACTAAACAGAAGCATTCTCAGAAACTACGTTGTGATGTTTGTGTTCAACTTGCAGAGTTGAAATTTCCTCTTGACAGAGCAGCTATGAAACATTGCTTTTCTTGAATCTGCAAGTGGACATTTGAAGGGCTTTGAGGCCTGTGGCGGAAACGTAAATATCTGCATATAAAAACTAGATAGAAAGCATTCTGAGAAACTTCTTTGTGATGTTTGCATTCAACTCACAGGATTTGCACCTTGCTTTCATAGTTCAGCTTTCAAACACTCTTTTTGTAGAATCTGCAAGTGGATATTTGGACCACTTTGTGGCCTTCCTTCGAAAAGGGTATATCTTCACATCAAACCTAGACAGAAGCATTCTCAGAATGTTTCCTGTGATGACTGCATTCAACTCACAGAGGTGAACAATCCTGCTGATGGAGCAGTTTTGAAACTCTCTTTCTTTGGATTCTGCAAGTGGATATGTGGACCTCTGTGAAGATTTCGTTGGAAACGGGTTCATCTTCACAGAAAAACTAAACAGAAACATTCTCAGAAACTGCTTTGTGATGTTTGTGTTCCACTTCAAGAATTGAACTTTCCTCTTGACAGAGCAGCTCTGAAACCCTCTTTTTCTAGAATCTGCAAGTGGACATTTGGAGGGCTTTGAGGCCTGTGGTGGAAAAGGAAAATCTTCACATAAAAACTAGATGGAAGCATTCTCAGAAACTACTTTGTGATGATTGCATTCGACTCACAGAGTTGAACATTCCTATAGATAGAGCAGGTTGTAAACAATGTTTTTGTAGAATCTGCGATTGGAGATTTGGATTGCTTTGAGGCCTACTGTAGTAAAGGAAATAACTTCATCTAAAAACCAAACGGAAGCATTCACAGACAATTCTTAGTGATCATTGGATTGAACTAACAGAGCTGAACATTCCTTTAGATGGAGCAGTTTCCAAACCCACTTTCTGTAGAATCTGCAAGTGGATATTTGGACTTCTCTGAGGATTTCGTTGGAAACGGGATAAACTTCCCAGAACTACACGGAAGCATTCTGAGAAACTTCTTTGTGATGTTTGCATTCAACTCACAGAGTTGAACCTTGCTTTCATAGTTCAGCTTTCAAACACTCTTTTTGTAGAATCTGCAAGTGGATATTTGGACCACTTTGTGGCCTTCCTTCGAAACGGGTATATCTTCACATCAAACCTAGACAGAAGCATTCTCAGAATGTTTCCTGTGATGACTGCATTCAACTCACAGAGGTGAACAATCCTGCTGATGGAGCAGTTTTGAAACTCTCTTTCTTTGGATTCTGCAAGTGGATATGTGGACCTCTGTGAGGATTTCGTTGGAAACGGGTTCATCCTCACAGAAAAACTAAACAGGAGCATTCTCAGAAACTGCTTTGTGATGTTTGTGTTCCACTTCAGGAATTGAACTTTCCTCTTGACAGAGCAGCTCTGAAACCCTCGTTTTCTAGAATCTGCAAGTGGACATTTGGAGGGCTTTGAGGCCTGTGGTGGAAAAGGAAAATCTTCACATAAAAACTAGATGGAAGCATTCTAAGAAACTACTTTGTGATGATTGCATTCGACTCACAGAGTTGAACATTCCTATAGATAGAGCAGGTTGTAAACAATCTTTTTGTAGAATCTGCGATTGGAGATTTGGACTGCTTTGAGGCCTACTGTAGTAAAGGAAATAACTTCATCTGAAAACCAAACGGAAGCATTCACAGACAATTCTTAGTGATCATTGCATTGAACTAACAGAGCTGAACATTGCTTTAGACGGCGCAGTTTCCAAACACACTTTCTGTAGAATCTGCAAGTGGATATTTGGACTTCTCCTGAGGATTTCGTTGGAAACGGGATAAACTTACCAGAACTACACGGAAGCATGCTGAGAAACTTCTTTGTGATGTTTGCATTCAACTCACAGAGTTGAACCTTGCTTTCATAGTTCAGCTTTCAAACACTCTTTTTGTAGAATCTGCAAGTGGATGTTTGGACCACTTTGTGGCCTTCCTTCGAAACGGGTATATGCTTCACATCAAACCTAGACAGAAGCATTCTCAGAATGTTTCCTGTGATGACTGCATTCAACTCACAGAGGTGAACAATCCTGCTGATGGAGCAGTTTTGAAACTCTCTTTCTTTGGATTCTGCAAGTGGATATGTGGACCTCTGTGAAGATTTCGTTGGAAACGGGTTCATCTTCACAGAAAAACTAAACAGGAGCATTCTCAGAAACTGCTTTGTGATGTTTGTGTTCCACTTCAAGAATTGAACTTTCCTCTTGACAGAGCAGCTCTGAAACCCTCTTTTTCTAGAGTATGCAAGTGGACATTTGGAGGGCTTTGAGGCCTGTGGTGGAAAAGGAAAATCTTCACATAAAAACTAGATGGAAGCATTCTCAGAAACTACTTTGTGATGATTGCATTCGACTCACAGAGTTGAACATTCCTATAGATAGAGCAGGTTGTAAACAATCTTTTTGTAGAATCTGCGATTGGAGATTTGGACTGCTTTGAGGCCTACTGTAGTAAAGGAAATAACTTCATCTAAAAACCAAACGGAAGCATTCACAGACAATTCTTAGTGATCATTGGATTGAACTAACAGAGCTGAACATTCCTTTAGATGGAGCAGTTTCCAAACCCACTTTCTGTAGAATCTGCAAGTGGATATTTGGACTTCTCCGAGGATTTCGTTGGAAACGGGATAAACTTCCCAGAACTACAGGGAAGCATTGTGAGAAACTTCTTTGTGATGTTTGCATTCAACTCACAGAGTTGAACCTTGCTTTCATAGTTCAGCTTTCAAACACTCTTTTTGTAGAATCTGCAAGTGGATATTTGGACCACTTTGTGGCCTTCCTTCGAAACGGGTATATCTTCACATCAAACCTAGACAGAAGCATTCTCAGAATGTTTCCTGTGATGACTGCATTCAACTCACAGAGGTGAACAATCCTGTTGATGTAGCACTTTTGAAACTCTCTTTCTTTGGATTCTGCAAGTTGATATGGGGACCTCTGTGAAGATTTCGTTGGAAACGGGTTCATCTTCACAGAAAAACTAAACAGAAGCATTCTCAGAAACTACTTTGTGATGTTTGTGTTCCACTTCAAGAATTGAACTTTCCTCTTGACAGAGCAGCTCTGAAACCCTCTTTTTCTAGAATCTGCAAGTGGACATTTGGAGGGCTTTGAGGCCTGTGGTGGAAAAGGAAAATCTTCACATAAAAACTAGATGGAAGCATTCTCAGTAAACTACTTTGTGATGATTGCATTCGACTCACAGAGTTGAACATTCCTATAGATAGAGCAGGTTGAAAACAATCTTTTTGTAGAATCTGCGATTGGAGATTTGGACTGCTTTGAGGCCTACTGTAGTAAAGGAAATAACTTCATCTAAAAACCAAACGGAAGCATTCACAGACAATTCTTAGTGATCATTGCATTGAGATAACAGAGCTGAACATTCCTTTAGATGGAGCAGTTTCCAAACACACTTTCTGTAGAATCTGCAAGTGGATATTTGGACTTCTCTGAGGATTTCGTTGGAAACGGGATAAACTTCCCAGAACTACACGGAAGCATTCTGAGAAACTTCTTTGTGATGTTTGCATTCAACTCACAGAGTTGAACCTTGCTTTCATAGTTCAGCTTTCAAACACTCTTTTTGAGGAATCTGCAAGTGGATATTTGGACCACTTTGTGGCCTTCCTTCGAAACGAGTATATCTTCACATCAAACCTAGACAGAAGTATTCTCAGAATGTTTCCTGTGATGACTGCATTCAACTCACAGAGGTGAACAATCCTGCTGATGGAGCAGTTTTGAAACTCTCTTTCTTTGGATTCTGCAAGTGGATATGTGGACCTCTGTGAAGATTTCGTTGGAAACGGGTTCATCTTCACAGAAAAACTAAACAGAAACATTCTCAGAAACTGCTTTGTGATGTTTGTGTTCCACTTCAAGAATTGAACTTTCCTCTTGACAGAGCAGCTCTGAAACCCTCTTTTTCTAGAATCTGCAAGTGGACATTTGGAGGGCTTTGAGGCCTGTGGTGGAAAAGGAAAATCTTCACATAAAAACTAGATGGAAGCATTCTCAGAAACTACTTTGTGATGATTGCATTCGACTCACAGAGTTGAACATTCCTATAGATAGAGCAGGTTGTAAACAATCTTTTTGTAGAATCTGCGATTGGAGATTTGGACTGCTTTGAGGCCTACTGTAGTAAAGGAAATAACTTCATCTAAAAACCAAACGGAAGCATTCACAGACAATTCTTAGTGATCATTGGATTGAACTAACAGAGCTGAACATTCCTTTAGATGGAGCAGTTTCCAAACACACTTTCTGTAGAATCTGCAAGTGGATATTTGGACGTCTCTGAGGATTTTGTTGGAAACGGGATAAACTTCCCAGAACTACACGGAAGCATTCTGAGAAACTTCTTTGTGATGTTTGCATTCAACTCACAGAGTTGAACCTTGCTTTCATAGTTCAGCTTTCAAACACTCTTTTTGTAGAATCTGCAAGTAGATATTTGGACCACTTTGTGGCCTTCCTTCGAAAGGGGTATATCTTCACATCAAACCTAGACAGAAGCATTCTCAGAATGTTTCCTGTGATGACTGCATTCAACTCACAGAGGTGAACAATCCTGCTGATGGAGCAGTTTTGAAACTCTCTTTCTTTGGATTCTGCAAGTGGATATGTGGACCTCTGTGAAGATTTGGTTGGAAACGGGTTCATCTTCACAGAAAAACTAAACAGGAGCATTCTCAGAAACTGCTTTGTGATGTTTGTGTTCCACTTCAGGAATTGAACTTTCCTCTTGACAGAGCAGCTCTGAAACCCTCTTTTTCTAGAATCTGCAAGTGGACATTTGGAGGGCTTTGAGGCCTGTGGTGGAAAAGGAAAATCTTCACATAAAAACTAGATGGAAGCATTCTCAGAAAGTACTTTGTGATGATTGCATTCGACTCACAGAGTTGAACATTCCTATAGATAGAGCAGGTTGTAAACAATCTTTTTGTAGAATCTGCGATTGGAGATTTGGACTGCTTTGAGGCCTACTGTAGTAAAGGAAATAACTTCATCTAAAAACCAAACGGAAGCATTCACAGACAATTCTTAGTGATCTATTGGATTGAACTAACAGAGCTGAACATTCCTTTAGATGGCGCAGTTTCCAAACCCACTTTCTGTAGAATCTGCAAGTGGATATTTGGATTTCTCTGAGGATTTCTTTGGAAACGAGATAAACTTCCCAGAACTACACGGAAGCATTGTGAGAAACTTCTTTGTGATGTTTGCATTCAACTCACAGAGTTGAACCTTGCTTTCATAGTTCAGCTTTCAAACACTCTTTTTGTAGAATCTGCAAGTGGATATTTGGACCACTTTGTGGCCTTCCTTCGAAACGGGTATATCTTCACATCAAACCTAGACAGAAGCATTCTCAGAATGTTTCCTGTGATGACTGCATTCAACTCACAGAGGTGAACAATCCTGCTGATGGAGCAGTTTTGAAACTCTCTTTCTTTGGATTCTGCAAGTGGATATGTGGACCTCTGTGAAGATTTCGTTGGAAACGGGTTCATCTTCACAGAAAAACTAAACAGGAGCATTCTCAGAAACTGCTTTGTGATGTTTGTGTTCCACTTCAGGAATTGAACTTTCCTCTTGACAGAGCAGCTCTGAAACTCTCTTTTTCTAGAATCTGCAAGTGGACATTTGGAGGGCTTTGAGGCCTGTGGTGGAAAAGGAAACTCTTCACATAAAAACTAGATGGAAGCATTCTCAGAAACTACTTTGTGATGATTGCATTCGACTCACAGAGTTGAACATTCCTATAGATAGAGCAGGTTGAAAACAATCTTTTTGTAGAATCTGCGATTGGAGATTTGGACTGCTTTGAGGCCTACTGTAGTAAAGGAAATAACTTCATCTAAAAACCAAACGGAAGCATTCACAGACAATTCTTAGTGATCATTGGATTGAACTAACAGAGCTGAACATTCCTTTAGATGGAGCAGTTTCCAAACACACTTTCTGTAGAATCTGCAAGTGGATATTTGGACTTCTCTGAGGATTTCGTTGGAATCGGGATAAACTTCCCAGAACTACACGGAAGCATTGTGAGAAACTTCTTTATGATGTTTGCATTCAACTCACAGAGTTGAACCTTGCTTTCATAGTTCAGCTTTCAAACACTCTTTTTGTAGAATCTGCAAGTGGATATTTGGACCACTTTGTGGCCTTCCTTCGAAACGGGTATATCTTCACATCAAACCTAGACAGAAGCATTCTCAGAATGTTTCCTGTGATGACTGCATTCAACTCACAGAGGTGAACAATCCTGCTGATGGAGCAGTTTTGAAACTCTCTTTCTTTGGATTCTGCAAGTGGATATGTGGACCTACTGTGAAGATTTCGTTGGAAACGGGTTCATCTTCACAGAAAAACTAAACAGGAGCATTCTCAGAAACTGCTTTGTGATGTTTGTGTTCCACTTCAAGAATTGAACTTTCCTCTTGACAGAGCAGCTCTGAAACCCTCTTTTTCTAGAATCTGCAAGTGGACATTTGGAGGGCTTTGAGGCCTGTGGTGGAAAAGGAAATCTTCACATAAAAACTAGATGGAAGCATTCTCAGAAACTCCTTTGTGATGATTGCATTCGACTCACAGAGTTGAACATTCCTATAGATAGAGCAGGTTGTAAACAATCTTTTTGTAGAATCTGCGATTGGAGATTTGGACTGCTTTGAGGCCTACTGTAGTAAAGGAAATAACTTCATCTAAAAACCAAACGGAAGCATTCACAGACAATTCTTAGTGATCATTGGATTGAACTAACAGAGCTGAACATTCCTTTAGATGGAGCAGTTTCCAAACACACTTTCTGTAGAATCTGCAAGTGGATATTTGGACCTCTCTGAGGATTTCGTTGGAAACGGGTTATACTTCCCAGAACTACACGGAAGCATTCTGAGAAACTTCTTTGTGATGTTTGCATTCAACTCACAGAGTTGAACCTTGCTTTCATAGTTCAGCTTTCAAACCCTCTTTTTGTAGAATCTGCAAGTGGATATTTGGACCACTTTGTGGCCTTCCTTCGAAACGGGTATATCTTCACATCAAATCTAGACAGAAGCATTCTCAGAATGTTTCCTGTGATGACTGCATTCAACTCACAGAGGTGAACAATCCTGCTGATGGAGCAGTTTTGAAACTCTCTTTCTTTGGATTCTGCAAGTGGATATGTGGACCTCTGTGAAGATTTCGTTGGAAACGGGTTCATCTTCACAGAAAAACTAAACAGGAGCATTCTCAGAACCTGCTTTGTGATGTTTGTGTTCCACTTCAAGAATTGAACTTTCCTCTTGACAGAGCAGCTCTGAAACCCTCTTTTTCTAGAATCTGCAAGTGGACATTTGGAGGGCTTTGAGGCCTGTGGTGGAAAAGGAAAATCTTCACATAAAAACTAGATGGAAGCATTCTCAGAAACTACTTTGTGATGATTGCATTCGACTCACAGAGTTGAACATTCCTATAGATAGAGCAGGTTGAAAACAATCTTTTTGTAGAATCTGCGATTGGAGATTTGGACTGCTTTGAGGCCTACTGTAGTAAAGGAAATAACTTCATCTAAAAACCAAACAGAAGCATTCACAGACAATACTTAGTGATCATTGGATTGAACTAACAGAGCTGTACATTCCTTTAGATGGAGCAGTTTCCAAACCCACTTTCTGTAGAATCTGCAAGTGGATATTTGGACCTCTCTGAGGATTTTGTTGGAAACGGGCTAAACTTCCCAGAACTACACGGAAGCATTGTGAGAAACTTCTTTGTGATGTTTGCATTCAACTCACAGAGTTGAACCTTGCTTTCATAGTTCAGCTTTCAAACACTCTTTTTGTAGAATCTGCAAGTGGATATTTGGACCACTTTGTGGCCTTCCTTCGAAACGGGTATATCTTCACATCAAACCTAGACAGAAGCATTCTCAGAATGTTTCCTGTGATGACTGCATTCAACTCACAGAGGTGAACAATCCTGCTGATGGAGCAGTTTTGAAACTCTCTTTCTTTGGATTCTGCAAGTGGATATGTGGACCTCTGTGAAGATTTCGTTGGAAACGGGTTCATCTTCACAGAAAAACTAAACAGGAGCATTCTCAGAAACTGCTTTGTGATGTTTGTGTTCCACTTCAGGAATTGAACTTTCCTCTTGACAGAGCAGCTCTAAAACCCTCTTATTCTAGAATCTGCAAGTGGACATTTGGAGGGCTTTGAGGCCTGTGGTGGAAAAGGAAAATCTTCACATAAAAACTAGATGGAAGCATTCTCAGAAACTACTTTGTGATGATTGCATTCGACTCACAGAGTTGAACATTCCTATAGATAGAGCAGGTTGTAAACAATCTTTTTGTAGAATCTGCGATTGGAGATTTGGACTGCTTTGAGGCCTACTGTAGTAAAGGAAATAACTTCATCTAAAAACCAAACGGAAGCATTCACAGACAATTCTTAGTGATCATTGGATTGAACTAACAGAGCTGAACATTCCTTTAGATGGAGCAGTTTCCAAACCCACTTTCTGTAGAATCTGCAAGTGGATATTTGGACTTCTCTGAGGATTTCGTTGGAAACGGGATAAACTTCCCAGAACTACACGGAAGCATTGTGAGAATCATCTTTCTGATGTTTGCATTCAACTCACAGAGTTGAACCTTGCTTTCATAGTTCAGCTTTCAAACACTCTTTTTGTAGAATCTGCAAGTGGATATTTGGACCACTTTGTGGCCTTCCTTTGAAACGGGTACATCTTCACATCAAACCTAGACAGAAGCATTCTCAGAATGTTTCCTGTGATGACTGCATTCAACTCACAGAGGTGAACAATCCTGTTGATGGAGCAGTTTTGAAACTCTCTTTCTTTGGATTCTGCAAGTTGATATGTGGACCTCTGTGAAGATTTCGTTGGAAACGGGTTCATCTTCACAGAAAAACTAAACAGAAGCATTCCCAGAAACTGCTTTGTGATGTTTCTGTTCCACTTCAAGAATTGAACTTTCCTCTTGACAGAGCAGCTCTGAAACCCTCTTTTTCTAGAATCTGCAAGTGGACATTTGGAGGGCTTTGAGGCCTGTGGTGGAAAAGGAAAATCTTCACATAAAAACTAGATGGAAGCATTCTCAGAAACTACTTTGTGATGATTGCATTCGACTCACAGAGTTGAACATTCCTATAGATAGAGCAGGTTGTAAACAATCTTTTTGTAGAATCTGCGATTGGAGATTTGGACTGCTTTGAGGCCTACTGTAGTAAAGGAAATAACTTCATCTAAAAATCAAACGGAAGCATTCACAGACAATTCTTAGTGATCATTGCATTGATCTAACAGAGCTGAACATTCCTTTAGATGGCGTAGTTTCCAAACACACTTTCTGTAGAATCTGCAAGTGGATATTTGGACCTCTCTGAGGATTTCGTTGGAAACGGGATAAACTTCCCAGAACTACACGGAAGCATTCTGAGAAACTTCTTTGTGATGTTTGCATTCAACTCACAGAGTTGAACCTTGCTTTCATAGTTCAGCTTTCAAACACTCTTTTTGTAGAATCTGCAAGTGGATATTTGGACCACTTTGTGGCCTTCCTTCGAAACGGGTATATCTTCACATCAAACCTAGACAGAAGCATTCTCAGAAAGTTTCCTGTGATGACTGCATTCAACTCACAGAGGTGAACAATCCTTCTGATGGAGCAGTTTTGAAACTCTCTTTCTTTGGATTCTGCAAGTGGATATGTGGACCTCTGTGAAGATTTCGTTGGAAACGGGTTCATCTTCACAGAAAAACTAAACAGGAGCATTCTCAGAAACTGCTTTGTGATGTTTGTGTTCCACTTCAAGAATTGAACTTTCCTCTTGACAGAGCAGCTCTGAAACCCTCTTTTTCCAGAATCTGCAAGTGGACATTTGGAGGGCTTTGAGGCCTGTGGTGGAAAAGGAAAATCTTCACATAAGAACTAGATGGAAGCATTCTCAGAAACTACTTTGTGATGATTGCATTCGACTCACAGAGTTCAACATTCCTATAGATAGAGCAGGTTGTAAACAATCTTTTTGTAGAATCTGCGATTGGAGATTTAGACTGCTTTGAGGCCTACTGTAGTAAATTAAATAACTTCATCTAAAAACCAAACGGAAGCATTCACAGACAATTCTTAGTGATCATTGCATTGAACTAACAGAGCTGAACATTCCTTTAGATGGCGCAGTTTCCAAACACACTTTCTGTAGAATCTGCAAGTGGATATTTGGACCTCTCTGAGGATTTCGTTGGAAACGGGATAAACTTCCCAGAACCACACGGAAGTATTCTGAGAAACATCTTTGTGATGGTTGCATTCAACTCACAGAGTTGAACCTTGCTTTCATAGTTCAGCTTTCAAACACTCTTTTTGTAGAATCTGCAAGTGGATATTTGGACCACTTTGTGGCCTTCCTTCGAAACGGGTATATCTTCACATCAAACCTAGACAGAAGCATTCTCAGAATGTTTCCTGTGATGACTGCATTCAACTCACAGAGGTGAACAATCCTGCTGATGGAGCAGTTTTGAAACTCTCTTTCTTTGGATTCTGCAAGTGGATATGTGGACCTCTGTGAAGATTTCGTTGGAAACGGGTTCATCTTCACAGAAAAACTAAACAGAAGCATTCTCAGAAACTGCTTTGTGATGTTTGTGTTCCACTTCAGGAATTGAACTTTCCTCTTGATAGAGCAGCTCTGAAACCCTCTTTTTCTAGAATCTGCAAGTGGACATTTGGAGGGCTTTGAGGCCTGTGGTGGAAAAGGAAAATCTTCACATAAAAACTAGATGGAAGCATTCTCAGAAACTACTTTGTGATGATTGCATTCGACTCACAGAGTTGAACATTCCTATAGATAGAGCAGGTTGTAAACAATGTTTTTGTAGAATCTGCGATTGGAGATTTGGACTGCTTTGAGGCCTACTGTAGTAAAGGAAATAACTTCATCTAAAAACCAAACGGAAGCATTCACAGACAATTCTTAGTGATCATTGGATTGAACTAACAGAGCTGAACATTCCTTTAGATGGAGCAGTTTCCAAACCCACTTTCTGTAGAATCTGCAAGTGGATATTTGGACCTCTCTGAGGATTTCGCTGGAAACGGGATATACTTCCCAGAACTACACGGAAGTATTCTGAGAAACTTCTTCGTGATGGTTGCATTCAACTCACAGAGTTGAACCTTGCTTTCATAGTTCAGCTTTCAAACACTCTTTTTGTAGAATCTGCAAGTGCATATTTGGACCACTTTGTGGCCTTCCTTCGAAACGGGTATATCTTCACATCAAACCTTGACAGAAGCATTCTCAGAATGTTTCCTGTGATGACTGCATTCAACTCACAGAGGTGAACAATCCTGCTGATGGAGCAGTTTTGAAACTCTCTTTCTTTGGATTCTGCAGGTGGATATGTGGACCTCTGTGAAGATTTCATTGGAAACGGGTTCATCTTCACAGAAAAACTAAACAGGAGCATTCTCAGAAACTGCTTTGTGATGTTTGTGTTCCACTTCAGGAATTGAACTTTCCTCTTGACAGAGCAGCTCTGAAACCCTCTTTTTCTAGAATCTGCAAGTGGACATTTGGAGGGATTTGAGGCCTGTGGTGGAAAAGGAAAATCTTCACATAAAAACTAGATGGAAGCATTCTCAGAAACTACTTTGTGATGATTGCATTCGACTCACAGAGTTAAACATTCCTATAGATAGAGCAGGTTGTAAACAATCTTTTTGTAGAATCTGCGATTGGAGATTTGGACTGCTTTGAGGCCTACTGTAGTAAAGGAAATAACTTCATCTAAAAACGAAACGGAAGCATTCACAGACAATTCTTAGTGATCATTGCATTGAACTAACAGAGCTGAACATTCCTTTAGATGGCGCAGTTTCCAAACACACTTTCTGTATAATCTGCAAGTGGATATTTGGACCTCTCTGAGGATTTCGTTGGAAACGGGATAAACTTCCCAGAACTACACGGAAGCATGCTGAGAAACTTCTTTGTGATGTTTGCATTCAACTCACAGAGTTGAACCTTGCTTTCATAGTTCAGCTTTCAAACACTCTTTTTGTAGAATCTGCAAGTGGATATTTGGACCACTTTGTGGCCTTCCTTCGAAACGGGTATATCTTCACATCAAACCTAGACAGAAGCATTCTCAGAATGTTTCCTGTGATGACTGCATTCAACTCACAGAGGTGAACAATCCTGCTGATGGAGCAGTTTTGAAACTCTCTTTCTTTGGATTCTGCAAGTGGATATGTGGACCTCTGTGAAGATTTCGTTGGAAACGGGTTCATCTTCACAGAAAAACTAAACAGAAGCATTCTCAGAAACTGCTTTGTGATGTTTGTGTTCCACTTCAAGAATTGAACTTTCCTCTTGACAGAGCAGCTCTGAAACCCTCTTTTTCTAGAATCTGCAAGCGGACATTTGGAGGGCTTTGAGGCCTGTGGTGGAAAAGGAAAATCTTCACATGAAAACTAGATGGAAGCATTCTCAGAAACTACTTTGTGATGATTGCATTCGACTCACAGAGTAGAACATTCCTATAGATAGAGCAGGTTGTAAACAATCTTTTTGTAGAATCTGCGATTGGAGATTTGGACTGCTTTGAGGCCTACTGTAGTAACGGAAATAACTTCATCTAAAAACCAAACGGCAGCATTCACAGACAATTCTTAGTGATCATTGGATTGAACTAACAGAGCTGAACATTCCTGTAGATGGAACAGTTTCCAAACACACTTTCTGTAGAATCTGCAAGTGGATATTTGGACTTCTCTGAGGATTTCGTTGGAAACGGGATAAACTTCCCAGAACTACACGGAAGCATGCTGAGAAACTTCTTTGTGATGTTTGCATTCAACTCACAGAGTTGAACCTTGCTTTCATAGTTCAGCTTTCAAACACTCTTTGTGTAGAATCTGCAAGTGGATATTTGGACCACTTTGTGGCCTTCCTTCGAAACGGGTATATCTTCACATCAAACCTAGACAGAAGCATTCTCAGAATGTTTCCTGTGATGACTGCATTCAACTCACAGAGGTGAACAATCCTGCTGATGGAGCAGTTTTGAAACTCTCTTTCTTTGGATTCTGCAAGTGGATATGTGGACGTCTGTGAAGATTTCGTTGGAAACGGGTTCATCTTCACAGAAAAACTAAACAGGAGCATTCTCAGAAACTGCTTTGTGATGTTTGTGTTCCACTTCAAGAATTGAACTTTCCTCTTGACAGAGCAGCTCTGAAACCCTCTTTTTCTAGAATCTGCAAGTGGACATTTGGAGGGCTTTGAGGCCTGTGGTGGAAAAGGAAAATCTTCACATAAAAACTAGATGGAAGCATTCTCAGAAACTACTTTGTGATGATGGCTTTCGACTCACAGAGTTGAACATTCCTATAGATAGAGCAGGTTGTAAACAATCTTTTTGTAGAATCTGCGATTGGAGATTTGGACTGCTTTGAGGCCTACTGTAGTAAAGGAAATAACTTCATCTAAAAACCAAACGGAAGCATTCACAGACAATTCTTAGTGATCATTGCATTGAACTAACAGAGCTGAACATTCCTTTAGATGGCGCAGTTTCCAAACACACTTTCTGTAGAATCTGCAAGTGGATATTTGGACCTCTCTGAGGATTTCGTTGGAAACGGGATAAAATTCCCAGAACTACACGGGAAGCATTCTGAGAAACTTCTTTGTGATGTTTGCATTCAACTCACAGAGTTGAACCTTGCTTTCATAGTTCAGCTTTCAAACACTCTTTTTGTAGAATCTGCAAGTGGATATTTGGACCACTTTGTGGCCTTCCTTCGAAACGGGTATATCTTCACATCAAACCTAGACAGAAGCATTCTCAGAATGTTTCCTGTGATGACTGCATTCAACTCACAGAGGTGAACAATCCTGCTGATGGAGCAGTTTTGAAACTCTCTTTCTTTGGATTCTGCAAGTGGATATGTGGACCTCTGTGAAGATTTCGTTGGAAACGGGTTCATCTTCACAGAAAAACTAAACAGAAACATTCTCAGAAACTGCTTTGGGATGTTTGTGTTCCACTTCAGGAATTGAACTTTCCTCCTGACAGAGCAGCTCTGAAACCCTCTTTTTCTAGAATCTGCAAGTGGACATTTGGAGGGCTTTTAGGCCTGTGGTGGAAAAGGAAAATCTTCACATAAAAACTAGATGGAAGCATTCTCAGAAACTACTTTGTGATGATTGCATTCGACTCACAGAGTTGAACATTCCTATAGATAGAGCAGGTTGTAAACAATGTTTTTGTAGAATCTGCGATTGGAGATTTGGATTGCTTTGAGGCCTACTGTAGTAAAGGAAATAACTTCATCTAAAAACCAAACGGAAGCATTCACAGACAATTCTTAGTGATCATTGGATTGAACTAACAGAGCTGATCATTCCTTTAGATGGCGCAGTTTCCAAACACACTTTCTGTAGAATCTGCCACTGGATATTTGGACCTCTCTGAGGATTTCGTTGGAAACGGGCTAAACTTCCCAGAACTACACGGAAGCATTCTGAGAAACTTCTTTGTGATGTTTGCATTCAACTCACAGAGTTGAACCTTGCTTTCCTAGTTCAGCTTTCAAACACTCTTTTTGTAGAATCTGCAAGTGGATATTTGGACCACTTTGTGGCCTTCCTTCGAAACGGGTATATCTTCACATCAAACCTAGACAGAAGCATTCTCAGAATGTTTCCTGTGATGACTGCATTCAACTCACAGAGGTGAACAATCCGGCTAATGGAGCAGTTTTGAAACTCTCTTTCTTTGGATTCTGCAAGTGGATATGTGGACCTCTGTGAAGATTTCGTTGGAAACGGGTTCATCTTCACAGAAAAACTAAACAGAAGCATTCTCAGAAACTGCTTTGTGATGTTTGTGTTCCACTTCAAGAATTGAACTTTCCTCTCGACAGAGCAGCTCTGAAACCCTCTTTTTCTAGAATCTGCAAGTGGACATTTGGAGGGCTTTGAGGCCTGTGGTGGAAAAGGAAAATCTTCACATAAAAACTAGATGGAAGCATTCTCAGAAACTACTTTGTGATGATTGCATTCGACTCACAGAGTTGAACATTCCTATAGATGGAGCAGGTTGTAAACAATCTTTTTCTAGAATCTGCGATTGGAGATTTGGACTGCTTTGAGGCCTACTGTAGTAAAGGAAATAACTTCATCTAAAAACCAAACGGAAGCATTCACAGACAATTCTTAGTGATCATTGCATTGAACTAACAGAGCTGAACATTCCTTTAGATGGCGAAGTTTCCAAACACACTTTCTGTAGAATCTGCAAGTGGATATTTGGACCTCTCTGAGGATTTCGTTGGAAACGGGATAAACTTCCCAGAACTACACGGAAGCATTCTGAGAAACTTCTTTGTGATGTTTGCATTCAACTCACAGAGTTGAAACTTGCTTTCATAGTTCAGCTTTCAAACACTCTTTTTGTAGAATCTGCAAGTGGATATTTGGACCACTTTGTGGCTTTCCTTCGAAACGGGTATATCTTCACATCAAACCTAGACAGAAGCATTCTCAGAATGTATCCTGTGATTACTGCATTCAACTCACAGAGGTGAACAATCCTGCTGATGGAGCAGTTTTGAAACTCTCTTCCTTTGGATTCTGCAAGTGGATATGTGGACCTCTGTGAAGATTTCGTTGGAAACGGGTTCATCTTCACAGAAACACTAAACAGAAGCATTCTCAGAAACTGCTTTGTGATGTTAGTGTTCCACTTCAAGAATTGAACTTTCCTCTTGACAGAGCAGCTCTGAAACCCTCTTTTTCTAGAATCTGCAAGTGGACATTTGGAGGGCTTTGAGGCCTGTGGTGGAAAAGGAAAATCTTCACATAAAAACTAGATGGAAGCATTCTCAGAAACTACTTTGTGATGATTGCATTCGACTCACAGAGTTGAACATTCCTATAGATAGAGCAGGTTGTAAACAATCTTTTTGTAGAATCTGCGATTGGAGATTTGGACTGCTTTGAGGCCTACTGTAGTAAAGGAAATAACTTCATCTAAAAACCAAACGGAAGCATTCACAGACAATTCTTAGTGATCATTGGATTGAACTAACAGAGCTGAACATTCCTTTAGATGGAGCAGTTTCCAAACACACTTTCTGTAGAATGTGCAAGTGGATATTTGGACTTCTCTGAGGATTTCGTTGGAAACGGGATAAACTTCCCAGAACTACACGGAAGCATTGTGAGAAACTTCTTTGTGATGTTTGCATTCAACTCACAGAGTTGAACCTTGCTTTCATAGTTCAGCTTTCAAACACTCTTTTTGTAGAATCTGCAAGTGGATATTTGGACCACTTTGTGGCCTTCCTTCGAAACGGGTATATCTTCACATCAAACCTAGACAGAAGCATTCTCAGAATGTTTCCTGTGATGACTGCATTCAACTCACAGCAGGTGAACAATCCTGCTGATGGAGCAGTTTTGAAACTCTCTTTCTTTGGATTCTGCAAGTGGATATGTGGACCTCTGTGAAGATTTCGTTGGAAACGGGTTCATCTTCACAGAAAAACTAAACAGGAGCATTCTCAGAAACTGCTTTGTGATGTTTGTGTTCCACTTCAAGAATTGAACTTTCCTCTTGACAGAGCAGCTCTGAAACCCTCTTTTTCTAGAATCTGCAAGTGGACATTTGGAGCTCTTTGAGGCCTGTGGTGGAAAAGGAAAATCTTCACATAAAAACTAGATGGAAGCATTCTCAGAAACTCCTTTCTGATGATTGCATTCGACTCACAGAGTTGAACATTCCTATAGATAGAGCAGGTTGTAAACAATCTTTTTGTAGAATCTGCGATTGGAGATTTGGACTGCTTTGAGGCCTACTGCATTAAAGCAAATAACTTCATCTAAAAACCAAACGGAAGCATTCACAGACAATTCTTAGTGATCATTGGATTGAACTAACAGAGCTGAACATTCCTTTAGATGGAGCAGTTTCCAAACACACTTTCTGTAGAATCTGCAAGTGGATATTTGGACCTCTCTGAGGATTTCGTTGGAAACGGGATAAACTTCCCAGAACTACACGGAAGCATTGTGAGAAACTTCTTTTTGATGTTTGCATTCAACTCACAGAGTTGAACCTTGCTTTCATAGTTCAGCTTTCAAACACTCTTTTTGTAGAATCTGCAAGTGGATATTTGGACCACTTTGTGGCCTTCCTTCGAAACGGGTATATCTTCACATCAAACCTAGACAGAAGCATTCTCAGAATGTTTCCTGTGATGACTGCATTCAACTCACAGAGGTGAACAATCCTGCTGATGGAGCAGTTTTGAAACTCTCTTTCTTTGGATTCTGCAAGTGGATATGTGGACCTCTGTGAAGATTTCGTTGGAAACGGGTTCATCTTCACAGAAAAACTAAACAGAAGCATTCTCAGAAACTGCTTTGTGATGTTTGTGTTCTACTTCAGGAATTGAACTTTCCTCTTGACAGAGCAGCTCTGAAACCCTCTTTTTCTAGAATCTGCAAGTGGACATTTGGAGGGCTTTGAGGCCTGTGGTGGAAAAGGAAAATCTTCACATAAAAACTAGATGGAAAGCATTCTCAGAAACTACTTTGTGATGATTGCATTCGACCCACAGAGTTGAACATTCCTATAGATAGAGCAGGTTGTAAACAATCTTTTTGTAGAATCTGCGATTGGAGATTTGGACTGCTTTGAGGCCTACTGTAGTAAAGGAAATAACTTCATCTAAAAACCAAACGGAGCATTCACAGACAATTCTTAGTGATCATTGGATTGAACTAACAGAGCTGAACATTCCTTTAGATGGAGCAGTTTCCAAACACACTTTCTGTAGAATCTGCAAGTGGATATTTGGACCTCTCTGAGGATTTCGTTGGAAACGGGATAAACTTCCCAGAACTACACGGAAGCATTGTGAGAAACTTCTTTGTGATGTTTGCATTCAACTCACAGAGTTGAACCTTGCTTTCATAGTTCAGCTTTCAAACACTCTTTTTGTAGAATCTGCAAGTGGATATTTGGACCACTTTGTGGCCTTCCTTCGAAACGGGTATATCTTCACATCAAACCTAGACAGAAGCATTCTCAGAATGTTTCCTGTGATGACTGCATTCAACTCACAGAGGTGAACAATCCTGCTGATGGAGCAGTTTTGAAACTCTCTTTCTTTGGATTCTGCAAGTGGATATGTGGACCTCTGTGAAGATTTCGTTGGAAACGGGTTCATCTTCACAGAAAAACTAAACAGAAGCATTCTCAGAAACTGCTTTGTGATGTTTGTGTTCCACTTCAAGAATTGAACTTTCCTCTTGACAGAGCAGCTCTGAAACCCTCTTATTCTAGAATCTGCAAGTGGACATTTGGAGGGCTTTGAGGCCTGTGGTGGGAAAGGAAAATCTTCACATAAAAACTTTATGGAAGCATTCTCAGAAACTTCTTTGTGATGATTGCATTCGACTCACAGAGTTGAACATTCCTATAGATAGAGCAGGTTGTAAACAATCTTTTTGTAGAATCTGCGATTGGAGATTTGGACTGCTTTGAGGCCTACTGTAGTAAAGGAAATTACTTCATCTAAAAACCAAACGGAAGCATTCACAGACAATTCTTAGTGATCATTGGATTGAACTAACAGAGCTGAACATTCCTTTAGATGGAGCAGTTTCCAAACCAACTTTCTGTAGAATCTGCAAGTGGATATTTGGACTTCTCTGAGGATTTCGTTGGAAACGGGATAAACTTCCCAGAACTACACGGAAGCATTGTGAGAAACTTCTTTGTGATGTTTGCATTCAACTCACAGAGTTGAACCTTGCTTTCATAGTTCAGCTTTCAAACACTCTTTTTGTAGAATCTGCAAGTGGATATTTGGACCACTTTGTGGCCTTCCTTCGAAACGGGTATATCTTCACATCAAACCTAGACAGAAGCATTCTCAGAATGTTTCCTGTGATGACTGCATTCAACTCACAGAGGTGAACAATCCTGCTGATGGAGCAGTTTTGAAACTCTCTTTCTTTGGATTCTGCAAGTGGATATGTGGACCTCTGTGAAGATTTCGTTGGAAACGGGTTCATCTTCACAGAAAAACTAAACAGAAGCATTCTCAGAAACTGCTTTGTGATGTTTGTGTTCCACTTCAGGAATTGAACTTTCCTCTTGACAGAGCAGCTCTGAAACCCTCTTATTCTAGAATCTGCAAGTGGACATTTGGAGGGCTTTGAGGCCTGTGGTGGAATAGGAAAATCTTCACATAAAAACTAGATGGAAGCATTCTCAGAAACTACTTTGTGATGATTGCATTCGACTCACAGAGTTGAACATTCCTATAGATAGAGCAGGTTGTAAACAATCTTTTTGTAGAATCTGCGATTGGAGATTTGGACTGCTTTGAGGCCTACTGTAGTAAAGGAAATAACTTCATCTAAAAACCAAACGGAAGCATTCACAGACAATTCTTAGTGATCATTGCATTGAACTAACAGAGCTGAACATTCCTTTACATGGAGCAGTTTCCAAACCCACTTTCTGTAGAATCTGCAAGTGGATATTTGGACTTCTCTGAGGATTTCGTTGGAAACGGGATAAACTTCTCAGAACTACACGGAAGCATTCTGAGAAACTTCTTTGTGATGTTTGCATTCAACTCACAGAGTTGAATCTTGCTTTCATAGTTCAGCTTTCAAACACTCTTTTTGTAGAATCTGCAAGTGAATATTTGGACCACTTTTTGGCCTTCCTTCGAAACGGGTATATCTTCGCATCAAACCTAGACAGAAGCATTCTCAGAATGTTTCCTGTGATGACTGCATTCAACTCACAGAGGTGAACAATCCTGCTGATGGAGCAGTTTTGAAACTCTCTTTCTTTGGATTCTGCAAGTGGATATGTGGACCTCTGTGAAGATTTCGTTGGAAACGGGTTCATCTTCACAGAAAAACTAAACAGGAACATTCTCAGAAACTGCTTTGTGATGTTTGTGTTCCACTTCAAGAATTGAACTTTCCTCTTGACAGAGCAGCTCTGAAACCCTCTTTTTCTAGAATCTGCAAGTGGACATTTGGAGGGCTTTGAGGCCTGTGGTGGAAAAGGAAAATCTTCACATAAAAACTAGATGGAAGCATTCTCAGAAACTACTTTGTGATGACTGCATTCGACTCACAGAGTTGAACATTCCTATAGATAGAGCAGGTTGTAAACAATCTTTTTGTAGAATCTGTGATTGGAGATTTGGACTGCTTTGAGGCCTACTGTAGTAAAGGAAATAACTTCATCTAAAAACCAAACGGAAGCATTCACAGACAATTCTTAGTGATCATTGGATTGAAATAACAGAGCTGAACATTCCTTTAGATGGAGCAGTTTCCAAACACACTTTCTGTAGAATCTCCAAGTGGATATTTGGACATCTCTGAGGATTTCGTTGGAAACGGGCTAAACTTCCCAGAACTACACGGAAGCATTCTGAGAAACTTCTTTGTGATGTTTGCATTCAACTCACAGAGTTGAACCTTGCTTTCATAGTTCAGCTTTCAAACACTCTTTTTGTAGAATCTGCAAGTGGATATTTGGACCACTTTGTGGCCTTCCTTCGAAACGGGTATATCTTCACATCAAACCTAGACAGAAGCATTCTCAGAATGTTTCCTGTGATGACTGCATTCAACTCACTGATGTGAACAATCCTGTTGATGGAGCAGTTTTGAAACTCTCTTTCTTTGGATTCTGCAAGTGGATATGTGGACCTCTGTGAAGATTTTGTTGGAAACGGGTTCATCTTCACAGAAAAACTAAACAGGAGCATTCTCAGAAACTGCTTTGTGATGTTTGTGTTCCACTTCAAGTATTGAACTTTCCTCTTGACAGAGCAGCTCTGAAACCCTCTTTTTCTAGAATCTGCGAGTGGACATTTGGAGGGCTTTGAGGCCTGTGGTGGAAAAGGAAAATCTTCACATAAAAACTAGATGGAAGCATTCTCAGGAAACTACTTTGTGATGATTGCATTCGACTCACAGAGTTGAACATTCCTATAGATAGAGCAGGTTGTAAACAATCTTTTTGTAGAATCTGCGATTGGAGATTTGGACTGCTTTGAGGCCTACTGTAGTAAAGGAAATAACTTCATCTAAAAACCAAACGGAAGCATTCACAGACAATTCTTAGTGATCATTGCATTGAACTAACAGAGCTGAACATTCCTTTAGATGGCGCAGTTTCCAAACACACTTTCTGTAGAATCTGCAAGTGGATATTTGGACTTCTCTGAGGATTTCGTTGGAAACGGGATAAACTTCCCAGAACTACACGGAAGCATTGTGAGAAACTTCTTTGTGATGTTTGCATTCAACTCACAGAGTTGAACCTTGCTTTCATAGTTCAGCTTTCAAACACTCTTTTTGTAGAATCTGCAAGTGGATATTTGGACCACTTTGTGGCCTTCCTTCGAAACGGGTATATCTTCACATCAAACCTAGACAGAAGCATTCTCAGAATGTTTCCTGTGATGACTGCATTCAACTCACAGAGGTGAACAATCCTGCTGATGGAGCAGTTTTGAAACTCTCTTTCTTTGGATTTTGCAAGTGGATATGTGGACCTCTGTGAAGATTTCGTTGGAAACGGGTTCATCTTCACAGAAAAACTAAACAGGAGCATTCCCAGAAACTGCTTTGTGATGTTTCTGTTCCACTTCAAGAATTGAACTTTCCTCTTGACAGAGCAGCTCTGAAACCCTCTTTTTCTAGAATCTGCAAGTGGACATTTGGAGGGCTTTGAGGCCTGTGGTGGAAAAGGAAAATCTTCACATAAAAACTAGATGGAAGCATTCTCAGAAACTACTTTGTGATGATTGCATTCGACTCACAGAGTTGAACATCCCTATAGATAGAGCAGGTTGTAAACAATCTTTTTGTAGAATCTGCGATTGGAGATTTTGACTGCTTTGAGGCCTACTGTAGTAAAGGAAATAACTTCATCTAAAAACCAAACGGAAGCATTCACAGACAATTCTTAGTGATCATTGCATTGAACTAACAGAGCTGAACATTCCTTTAGATGGAGCATTTTCCAAACACACTTTCTGTAGAATCTGCAAGTGGATATTTGGACTTCTCTGAGGATTTCGTTGGAAACGGGATATACTTCCCAGAACTACACGGAAGCATTGTGAGAAACTTCTTTGTGATGTTTGCATTCAACTCACAGAGTTGAACCTTGCTTTCATAGTTCAGCTTTCAAACACTCTTTTTGTAGAATCTGCAAGTGGATATTTGGACCACTTTGTGGCCTTCCTTTGAAAAGGGTATATCTTCACATCAAACCTAGACAGAAGCATTCTCAGAATGTTTCCTGTGATGACTGCATTCAACTCACAGAGGTGAACAATCCTGCTGATGGAGCAGTTTTGAAACTCTCTTTCTTTGGATTCTGCAAGTGGATATGTGGACCTCTGTGAAGATTTCGTTGGAAACGGGTTCATCTTCACAGAAAAACTAAACAGGAGCATTCTCAGAAACTGCTTTGTGATGTTTGTGTTCCACTTCAGGAATTGAACTTTCCTCTTGACAGAGCAGCTCTGAAACCCTCTTATTCTAGAATCTGCAAGTGGACATTTGGAGGGCTTTGAGGCCTGTGGTGGAAAAGGAAAATCTTCACATAAAAACTAGATGGAAACATTCTCAGAAACTCCTTTGTGATGATTGCATTCGACTCACAGAGTTGAACATTCCTATAGATAGAGCAGGTTGTAAACAATCTTTTTGTAGAATCTGCGATTGGAGATTTGGACTGCTTTGAGGCCTACTGTAGTAAAGGAAATAACTTCATCTAAAAACCAAACGGAAGCATTCACAGACAATTCTTAGTGATCATTGGATTGAACTAACAGAGCTGAACATTCCTTTAGATGGCGCAGTTTCCAAACACACTTTCTGTAGAATCTGCAAGTGGATATTTGGACCTCTCTGAGGATTTCTTTGGAAACGGGATAAACTTCCCAGAACTACACGGAAGCATGCTGAGAAACTTCTTTGTGATGTTTGCATTCAACTCACAGAGTTGAACCTTGCTTTCATAGTTCAGCTTTCAAACACTCTTTTTGTAGAATCTGCAAGTGGATATTTGGACCACTTTGTGGCCTTCCTTCGAAACGGGTATATCTTCACATCAAACCTAGACAGAAGCATTCTCAGAATGTTTCCTGTGATGACTGCATTCAACTCACAGAGGTGAACAATCCTGTTGATGGAGCACTTTTGAAACTCTCTTTCTTTGGATTCTGCAAGTTGATATGTGGACCTCTGTGAAGATTTCGTTGGAAACGGGTTCATCTTCACAGAAAAACTAAACAGAAGCATTCTCAGAAACTGCTTTGTGATGTTTGTGTTCCACTTCAAGAATTGAACTTTCCTCTTGACCGAGCAGCTCTGAAACCCTCTTATTCTAGAATCTGCAAGTGGACATTTGGAGGGCTTTGAGGCCTGTGGTGGAAAAGGAAAATCTTCACATAAAAACTAGATGGATAAGCATTGTCAGTAAACTACTTTGTGATGATTGCATTCGACTCACAGAGTTGAACATTCCTATAGATAGAGCAGGTTGTAAACAATCTTTTTGTAGAATCTGCGATTGGAGATTTGGAATGCTTTGAGGCCTACTGTAGTAAAGGAAATAACTTCATCTAAAAACCAAACGGAAGCATTCACAGACAATTCTTAGTGATCATTGCATTGAACTAACAGAACTGAACATTCCTTTAGATGGCGCAGTTTCCAAACACACTTTCTGTAGAATCTGCAAGTGGATATTTGGACTTCTCTGAGGATTTCGTTGGAAGCGGGATAAACTTCCCAGAACTACACGGAAGCATTCTGAGAAACTTCTTTGTGATGTTTGCATTCAACTCACAGAGTTGAACCTTGCTTTCATAGTTCAGCTTTCAAACACTCTTTTTGTAGAATCTGCAAGTGGATATTTGGACCACTTTGTGGCCTTCCTTCGAAACGGGTATATCTTCACATCAAACCTAGACAGAAGCATTCTCAGAATGTTTCCTGTGATGACTGCATTCAACTCACAGAGGTGAACAATCCTGCTGATGGAGCAGTTTTGAAACTCTCTTTCTTTGGATTCTGCAAGTGGATATGTGGACCTCTGTGAAGATTTCGTTGGAAACGGGTTCATCTTCACAGAAAAACTAAACAGGAGCATTCTCAGAAACTGCTTTGTGATGTTTGTGTTTCACTTCAAGAATTGAACTTTCCTCTTGACAGAGCAGCTCTGAAACCCTCTTTTTCTAGAATCTGCAAGTGGACATGTGGAGGGCTTTGAGGCCTGTGGTGGAAAAGGAAAATCTTCACATAAAAACTAGATGGAAGCATTCTCAGAAACTACTCTGTGATGATTGCATTCGACTCACAGAGTTGAACATTCCTATAGATAGAGCAGGTTGTAAACAATCTTTTTGTAGAATCTGCGATTGGAGATTTGGACTGCTTTGAGGCCTACTGTAGTAAAGGAAATAACTTCATCGAAAAACCAAACGGAAGCATTCACAGACAATTCTTAGTGATCATTGCATTGAACTAACAGAGCTGAACATTCCTTTAGATGGAGCAGTTTCCAAACACACTTTCTGTAGAATCTGCAAGTGGATATTTGGACTTATCTGAGGATTTCGTTGGAAAAGGGATAAACTTCCCAGAACTACACGGAAGCATTGTGAGAAACTTCTTTGTGATGTTTGCATTCAACTCACAGAGTTGAACCTTGCTTTCATAGTTCAGCTTTCAAACACTCTTTTTGTAGAATCTGCAAGTGGATATTTGGACCACTTTGTGGCCTTCCTTCGAAACGGGTATATCTTCACATCAAACCTAGACAGAAGCATTCTCAGAATGTTTCCTGTGATGACTGCATTCAACTCACAGAGGTGAACAATCCTGTTGATGGAGCAGTT
Source organism: Homo sapiens (assembly GCF_000001405.40). NCBI lineage: Eukaryota > Metazoa > Chordata > Mammalia > Primates > Hominidae > Homo > Homo sapiens. Next base: position 53,682,864 of record NC_000011.10, read on the forward strand.
TTGAAAATCTCTTTCTTTGGATTCTGCAAGTGGATATGTGGACCTCTGTGAAGATTTCGTTGGAAACGGGTTCATCTTCACAGAAAAACTAAGCAGAAGCATTCCCAGAAACTGCTTTGTGATGTTTCTGTTCCACTTCAAGAATTGAACTTTCCTCTTGACAGAGCAGCTCTGAAACCCTCTTTTTCTAGAATCTGCAAGTGGACATTTGGAGGGCTTTGAGGCCTGTGGTGGAAAAGGAAAATCTTCACATAAAAACTAGATGGAAGCATTCTCAGAAACTACTTTGTGATGATTGCATTCGACTCACAGAGTTGAACATTCCTATACATAGAGCAGGTTGTAAACAATCTTTTTGTAGAATCTGCGATTGGAGATTTGGACTGCTTTGAGGCCTACTGTAGTAAAGGAAATAACTTCATCTAAAAACCAAACGGAAGCATTCACAGACAATTCTTAGTGATCATTGGATTGAACTAACAGAGCTGAACATTCCTTTAGATGGAGCAGTTTCCAAACACACTTTCTGTAGAATCTGCAAGTGGATATTTGGACTTCTCTGAGGATTTCGTTGAAAACGGGATAAACTTCCCAGAACTACACGGAAGCATTCTGAGAAACTTCTTTGTGATGTTTGCATTCAACTCACAGAGTTGAACCTTGCTTTCATAGTTCAGCTTTCAAACACTCTTTTTGTAGAATCTGCAAGTGGATATTTGGACCACTTTGTGGCCTTCCTTCGAAACGGGTATATCTTCACATCAAACCTAGACAGAAGCATTCTCAGAATGTTTCCTGTGATGACTGCATTCAACTCACAGAGGTGAACAATCCTGCTGATGGAGCAGTTTTGAAACTCTCTTTCTTTGGATTCTGCAAGTGGATATGTGGACCTCTGTGAAGATTTCGTTGGAAACGGGTTCATCTTCACAGAAAAACTAAACAGAAGCATTCTCAGAAACTGTTTTGTGATGTTTGTGTTCCACTTCAAGAATTGGACTTTCCTCTTGACAGAGCAGCTCTGAAACCCTCTTTTTCTAGAATCTGCAAGTGGACATTTGGAGGGCTTTGAGGCCTGTGGTGGAAAAGGAAAATCTTCACATAAAAACTAGATGGAAGCATTCTCAGAAATTACTTTGTGATGATTGCATTCGACTCACAGAGTTGAACATTCCTATAGATAGAGCAGGTTGTAAACAATCTTTTTGTAGAATCTGCGATTGGAGATTTGGACTGCTTTGAGGCCTACTGTAGTAAAGGAAATAACTTCATCTAAAAACCAAACGGAAGCATTCACAGACAATTCTTAGTGATCATTGGATTGAACTAACAGAGCTGAACATTCCTTTAGATGGAGCAGTTTCCAAACACACTTTCTGTAGAATCTGCAACTGGATATTTGGACTTCTCTGAGGATTTCGTTGGAAACGGGATAAACTTCCCAGAACTACACGGAAGCATTCTGAGAAACTTCTTCGTGATGTTTGCATTCAACTCACAGAGTTGAACCTTGGTTTCATAGTTCAGCTTTCAAACCCTCTTTTTGTAGAATCTGCAAGTGGATATTTGGACCAATTTGTGGCCTTCCTTCGAAACGGGTATATCTTCACATCAAACCTAGACAGAAGCATTCTCAGAATGTTTCCTGTGATGACTGCATTCAACTCACAGAGGTGAACAATCCTGCTGATGGAGCAGTTTTGAAACTCTCTTTCTTTGGATTCTGCAAGTGGATATGTGGACCTCTGTGAAGATTTCGTTGGAAACGGGTTCATCTTCACAGAAAAACTAAACAGAAGCATTCTCAGAAACTGCTTTGTGATGTTTGTGTTCCACTTCAGGAATTGAACTTTCCTCTTGATAGAGCAGCTCTGAAACCCTCTTTTTCTAGAATCTGCAAGTGGACATTTGGAGTGCTTTGAGGCCTGTGGTGGAAAAGGAAAATCTTCACATAAAAACTAGATGGAAGCATTCTCAGAAACTACTTTCTGATGATTGCATTCGACTCACAGAGTTGAACATTCCTATAGATAGAGCAGGTTGTAAACAATCTTTTTGTAGAATCTGCGATTGGAGATTTGGACTGCTTTGAGGCCTACTGTAGTAAAGGAAATAACTTCATCTAAAAACCAAACGGAAGCATTCACAGACAATTCTTAGTGATCATTGGATTGAACTAACAGAGCTGAACATTCCTTTAGATGGAGCAGTTTCCAAACACACTTTCTGTAGAATCTGCAAGTGGATATTTGGACCTCTCTGAGGATTTCGTTGGAAACGGGATAAACTTCCCAGAACTACACGGAAGCATTCTGAGAAACTTCTTTGTGATGTTTGCATTCAACTCACCGAGTTGAACCTTGCTTTCCTAGTTCAGCTTTCAAACACTCTTTTTGTAGAATCTGCAAGTGGATATTTGGACCACTTTGTGGCCTTCCTTCGAAACGGGTATATCCTCACATCAAACCTAGACAGAAGCATTCTCAGAATGTTTCCTGTGATGACTGCATTCAACTCACAGAGGTGAACAATCCTGCTGATGGAGCAGTTTTGAAACTCTCTTTCTTTGGATTCTGCAAGTGGATATGTAGACCTCTGTGAAGATTTCGTTGGAAACGGGTTCATCTTCACAGAAAAACTAAACAGAAGCATTCTCAGAAACTGCTTTGTGATGTTTGTGTTCCACTTCAGGAATTGAACTTTCCTCTTGACAGAGCAGCTCTGAAACCCTCTTATTCTAGAATCTGCAAGTGGACATTTGGAGGGCTTTGAGGCCTGTGGTGGAAAAGGAAAATCTTCACATAAAAACTAGATGGAAGCATTCTCAGAAACTACTTTGTGATGATTGCATTCGACTCACAGAGTTGAACATTCCTATAGATAGAGCAGGTTGTAAACAATCTTTTTGTAGAATCTGCGATTGGAGATTTGGACTGCTTTGAGGCCTACTGTAGTAAAGGAAATAACTTCATCTAAAAACCAAACGGAAGCATTCACAGACAATTCTTAGTGATCATTGGATTGAACTAACAGAGCTGAACATTCCTTTAGATGGAGCAGTTTCCAAACCCACTTTCTGTAGAATCTGCAAGTGGATATTTGGACTTCTCAGAGGATTTCGTTGGAAACGGGATAAACTTCCCAGAACTACACGGAAGCATTGTGAGAAACTTCTTTGTGATGTTTGCATTCAACTCACAGAGTTGAACCTTGCTTTCATAGTTCAGCTTTCAAACACTCTTTTTGTAGAATCTGCAAGTGGACATTTGGACCACTTTGTGGCCTTCCTTCGAAACGGGTATATCTTCACATCAAACCTAGACAGAAGCATTCTCAGAATGTTTCCTGTGATGACTGCATTCAACTCACAGAGGTGAACAATCCTGCTGATGGAGCAGTTTTGAAACTCTCTTTCTTTGGATTCTGCAAGTGGATATGTGGACCTCTGTGAAGATTTCGTTGGAAACGGGTTCATCTTCACAGAAAAACTAAACAGGAGCATTATCAAAAACTGCTTTGTGATGTTTGTGTTCCACTTCAAGAATTGAACTTTCCTCCTGACAGAGCAGCTGTGAAACCCTCTTTTTCTACAATTTGCAAGTGGACATTTGGAGGGCTTTGAGGCCTGTGGTGGAAAAGGAAAATCTTCACATAAAAACTAGATGGAAAGCATTCTCAGAAACTACTTTGTGAGAATTGCATTCGACTCACAGAGTTGAACATTCCTATAGATAGAGCAGGTTGTAAACAATCTTTTTGTAGAATCTGCGATTGGAGATTTGGACTGCTTTGAGGCCTACTGTAGTAAAGGAAATAACTCCATCTAAAAACCAAACGGAAGCATTCACAGACAATACTTAGTGATCATTGGATTGAACCAACAGAGCTGAACATTCCTTTAGATGGAGTAGTTTCCAAACCCACTTTCTGTAGAATCTGTAAGTGGATATTTGGACTTCTCTGAGGATTTCGTTGGAAACGGGATAAACTTCCCAGAACTACACGGAAGCATTGTGAGAAACTTCTTTGTGATGTTTGCATTCAACTCACAGAGTTGAACCTTGCTTTCATAGTTCAGCTTTCAAACACTCTTTTTGTAGAATCTGCAAGTGGATATTTCGACCACTTTGTGGCCTTCCTTCGAAACGGGTATATCTTCACATCAAACCTAGACAGAAGCATTCTCAGAATGTTTCCTGTGATGACTGCATTCAACTCACAGTTGTGAACAATCCTGTTGATGGTGCCGTTTTGAAACTCCCTTTCTTTTGATTCTGCAAGTGGATATGTGGAACTCTGTGAAGATTTCGTTGGAAACGGGTTCATCTTCACAGAAAAATTAACAGGAGCATTCTCAGAAACTGCTTTGTGATGTTTGTGTTCCACTTCAGGAATTGAACTTTCCTCTTGACAGAGCAGCTCTGAAGCCCTCTTATTCTAGAATCTGCAAGTGGACATTTGGAGGGCTTTGAGGCCTGTGGTGGAAAAGGAAAATCTTCACATAAAAACTAGATGGAAGCATTCTCAGAAACTACTTTGTGATGATTGCATTCGACTCACAGAGTTGAACATTCCTATAGATAGAGCAGGTTGTAAACAATCTTTTTGTAGAATCTGCGATTGGAGATTTGGACTGCTTTGAGGCCTACTGTAGTAAAGGAAATAACTTCATCTAAAAACCAAACGGAAGCATTCACAGACAATTCTTTGTATTCATTGGATTGAACTAACAGAGCTGAACATTCCTTTAGATGGAGCAGTTTCCAAACACACTTTCTGTAGAATCTGCAAGTGGATATTTGGACTTCTCTGAGGATTTCGTTGGAAACGGGATAAACTTCCCAGAACTACACGGAAGCATTCTGAGAAACTTCTTTGTGATGTTTGCATTCAACTCACAGAGTTGAACCTTGCTTTCATAGTTCAGCTTTCAAACACTCTTTTTGTAGAATCTGCAAGTGGATATTTGGACCACTTTGTGGCCTTCCTTCGAAACGGGTATATCTTCACATCAAACCTAGACAGAAGCATTCTCAGAATGTTTCCTGTGATGACTGCATTCAACTCACAGAGGTGAACAATCCTGCTGATGGAGCAGTCTTGAAACTCTCTTTCTTTGGATTCTGCAAGTGGATATGTGGACCTCTGTGAAGATTTCGTTGGAAACGGGTTCATCTTCACAGAAAAACTAAACAGGAGCATTCTCGGAAACTGCTTTGTGATGTTTGTGTTCCACTTCAGGAATTGAACTTTCCTCTTGACAGAGCAGCTCTGAAACCCTCTTATTCTAGAATCTGCAAGTGGACATTTGGAGGGCTTTGAGGCCTGTGGTGGAAAAGGAAAATCTTCACATAAAAACTAGATGGAAGCATTCTCAGAAACTACTTTGTGATGATTGCATTCGACTCACAGAGTTGAACATTCCTATACATAGAGCAGGTTGTAAACAATCTTTTTGTAGAATCTGCGATTGGAGATTTGGACTGCTTTGAGGCCTACTGTAGTAAAGGAAATAACTTCATCTAAAAACCAAACGGAAGCATTCACAGACAATTCTTAGTGATCATTGCATTGAACTAACAGAGCTGAACATTCCTTTAGATGGAGCAGATTCCAAACACACTTTCTGTAGAATCTGCAAGTGGATATTTGGACCTCTCTGAGGATTTCGTTGGAAACGGGATAAACTTCCCAGAACTACACGGAAGCATTCTGAGAAACTTCTTTGTGATGTTTGCATTCAACTCACAGAGCTGAACCTTGCTTTCATAGTTCAGCTTTGAAACACTCTTTCTGTAGAATCTGCAAGTGGATATTAGGACCACATTGTGGCCTTCCTTCGAAACGGGTATATCTTCACATCAAACCTAGACAGAAGCATTCTCAGAATGTTTCCTGTGATGACTGCATTCAACTCACAGAGGTGAACAATCCTGCTGATGGAGCAGTTTTGAAACTCTCTTTCTTTGTATTCTGCAAGTGGATATGTGGACCTCTGTGAAGATTTCGTTGGAAACGGGTTCATCTTCACAGAAAAACTAAACAGGAGCATTCTCAGAAACTGCTTTGTGATGTTTGTGTTCCACTTCAAGAATTGAACTTTCCTCTTGACAGAGCAGCTCTGAAACCCTCTTATTCTAGAATCTGCAAGTGGACATTTGGAGGGCTTTGAGGCCTGTGGTGGAAAAGGAAAATCTTCACATAAAAACTAGATGGAAGCATTCTCAGAAACTACTTTGTGATGATTGCATTCGACTCACAGAGTTGAACATTCCTATAGATAGAGCAGGTTGTAAACAATCTTTTTGTAGAATCTGCGATTGGAGATTTGGACTGCTTTGAGGCCTACTGTAGTAAAGGAAATAACTTCATCTAAAAACCAAACGGAAGCATTCACAGACAATTCTTAGTGATCATTGCATTGAACTAACAGAGCTGAACATTCCTTTAGATGGAGCAGTTTCCAAACACACTTTCTGTAGAATCTGCAAGTGGATATTTGGACTTCTCTGAGGATTTCGTTGGAAACGGGATAAACTTCCCAGAACTACACGGAAGCATTCTGAGAAACTTCTTTGTGATGTTTGCATTCAACTCACAGAGTTGAACCTTGCTTTCATAGTTCAGCTTTCAAACACTCTTTTTGTAGAATCTGCAAGTGGATATTTGGACCACTTTGTGGCCTTCCTTCGAAACGGGTATATCTTCACATCAAACCTAGACAGAAGCATTCTCAGAATGTTTCCTGTGATGACTGCATTCAACTCACAGAGGTGAACAATCCTGCTGATGGAGCAGTTTTGAAACTCTCTTTCTTTGGATTCTGCAAGTGGATATGTGGACCTCTGTGAAGATTTCGTTGGAAACGGGTTCATCTTCAGAGAAAAACTAAACAGGAGCATTCTCAGAAACTGCTTTGTGATGTTTGTGTTCCACTTCAAGAATTGAACTTTCCTCTTGACAGAGCAGCTCTGAAACCCTCTTTTTCTAGAATCTGCAAGTGGACATTTGGAGGGCTTTGAGGCCTGTGGTGGAAAAGGAAAATCTTCACATAAAAACTAGATGGAAGCATTCTCAGAAACTACTTTGTGATGATTGCATTCGACTCACAGAGTTGAACATTCCTATAGATAGAGCAGGTTGTAAACAATGTTTTTGTAGAATCTGCGATTGGAGATTTGGACTGCTTTGAGGCCTACTGTAGTAAAGGAAATAACTTCATCTAAAAACCAAACGGAATCATTCACAGACAATTCTTAGTGATCATTGGATTGAACTAACAGAGCTGAACATTCCTTTAGATGGAGCAGTTTCCAAACACACTTTCTGCAGAATCTGCAAGTGGATATTTGGACTTCTCTGAGGATTTCGTTGGAAACGGGATAAACTTCCCAGAACTACACGGAAGCATTCTGAGAAACTTCTTTTTGATGTTTGCATTCAACTCACAGAGTTGAACCTTGCTTTCGTAGTTCAGCTTTCAAACACTCTTTTTGTAGAATCAGCAAGTGGATATTTGGACCACTTTTTGGCCTTCCTTCGAAACGGGTATATCTTCACATCAAACCTAGACAGATAAGCATTCTCAGAATGTTTCCTGTGATGACTGCATTCAACTCACAGAGGTGAACAATCCTGCTGATGGAGCAGTTTTGAAACTCTCTTTCTTTGGATTCTGCAAGTGGATATGTGGACCTCTGTGAAGATTTCGTTGGAAACGGGTTCATCTTCACAGAAAAACTAAACAGAAGCATTCTCAGAAACTGCTTTGTGATGTTTGTGTTCCACTTCAAGAAATTGAACTTTCCTCTTGACAGAGCAGCTCTGAAACCCTCTTTTTCTAGAATCTGCAAGTGGACATTTGGAGGGCTTTGAGGCCTGTGGTGGAAAAGGAAAATCTTCACATAAAAACTAGATGGAAGCATTCTCAGAAACTACTTTGTGATGATTGCATTCGACTCACAGAGTTGAACATTCCTATACATAGAGCAGGTTGTAAACAATCTTTTTGTAGAATCTGCGATTGGAGATTTGGACTGCTTTGAGGCCTACTGTAGTAAAGGAAATAACTTCATCTAAAAACCAAACGGAAGCATTCACAGACAATTCTTAGTGATCATTGGATTGAACTAACAGAGCTGAACATTCCTTTAGATGGAGCAGTTTCCAAACCCACTTTCTGTAGAATCTGCAAGTGGATATTTGGACTTCTCTGAGGATTTCGTTGGAAACGGGATAAACTTCCCAGAACTACACGGAAGCATTGTGAGAAACATCTTTGTGATGTTTGCATTCAACTCACAGAGTTGAACCTTGCTTTCATAGTTCAGCTTTCAAACACTCTTTTTGTAGAATCTGCAAGTGGATATTTGGACCACTTTGTGGCCTTCCTTCGAAACGGGTATATCTTCACATCAAACCTAGACAGAAGCATTCTCAGAATGTTTCCTGTGATGACTGCATTCAACTCACAGAGGTGAACAATCCTGCTGATGGAGCAGTTTTGAAACTCTCTTTCTTTGGATTCTGCAAGTGGATATGTGGACCTCTGTGAAGATTTCGTTGGAAACGTGCTCATCTTCACAGAAAAACTAAACAGGAACATTCTCAGAAACTGCTTTGTGATGTTTGTGTTCCACTTCAGGAATTGAACTTTCCTCTTGACAGAGCAGCTCTGAAATCCTCTTATTCTAGAATCTGCAAGTGGACATTTGGAGGGCTTTGAGGCCTGTGGTGGAAAAGGAAAATCTTCACATAAAAACTAGATGGAAGCATTCTCAGAAACTACTTTGTGATGATTGCATTCGACTCACAGAGTTGAACATTCCTATAGATAGAGCAGGTTGTAAACAATCTTTTTGTAGAATCTGAGATTGGAGATTTGGACTGCTTTGAGGCCTACTGTAGTAAAGGAAATAACTTCATCTAAAAACCAAACGGAAGTATTCACAGACAATTCTTAGTGATCATTGGATTGAACTAACAGAGCTGAACATTCCTTTAGATGGCGCAGTTTCCAAACTCACTTTCTGTACAATCTGCAAGTGGATATTTGGACCTCTCTGAGGATTTCGTTGGAAACGGGATAAACTTCCCAGAACTACACGGAAGCATTCTGAGAAACTTCTTTGTGATGTTTGCATTCAACTCACAGAGTTGAACCTTGCTTTCATAGTTCAGCTTTCAAACACTCTTTTTGTAGAATCTGCAAGTGGATATTTGGACCACTTTGTGGCCTTCCTTCGAAACGGGTATATCTTCACATCAAACCTAGACAGAAGCATTCTCAGAATGTTTCCTGTGATGACTGCATTCAACTCACAGAGGTGAACAATCCTGCTGATGGAGCAGTTTTGAAACTCTCTTTCTTTGGATTCTGCATGTGGATATGTGGACCTCTGTGAAGATTTCGTTGGAAAAGGGTTCATCTTCACAGAAAAACTAAACAGGAGCATTCTCAGAAACTGCTTTGTGATGTTTGTGTTCCACTTCAAGAATTGAACTTTCCTCTTGACAGAGCAGCTCTGAAACCCTCTTTTTCTAGAATCTGCAAGTGGACATTTGGAGGGCTTTGAGGCCTGTGGTGGAAAAGGAAAATCTTCACATAAAAACTAGATGGAAGCATTCTCAGAAACTACTTTGTGATGATTGCATTCGACTCACAGAGTTGAACATTCCTATAGATAGAGCAGGTTGCAAACAATCTTTTTGTAGAATCTGCGATTGGAGATTTGGACTGCTTTGAGGCCTACTGTAGTAAAGGAAATAACTTCATCTAAAAACCAAACGGAAGCATTCACAGACAATTCTTAGTGATCATTGGATTGAACTAACAGAGCTGAACATTCCTTTAGATGGAGCAGTTTCCAAACACACTTTCTGTAGAATCTGCAAGTGGATATTTGGACTTCTCTGAGGATTTCGTTGGAAACGGGATAAACTTCCCAGAACTACACGGAAGCATTGTGAGAAACTTCTTTGTGATGTTTTCATTCAACTCACAGAGTTGAACCTTGCTTTCATAGTTCAGCTTTCAAACACTCTTTTTGTAGAATCTGCAAGTGGATATTTGGACCACTTTGTGGCCTTCCTTCGAAACGGGTATATCTTCACATCAAACCTAGACAGAAGCATTCTCAGAATGTTTCCTGTGATGACTGCATTCAACTCACAGAGGTGAACAATCCTGTTGATGGAGCAGTTTTGAAACTCTCTTTCTTTGGTTTCTGCAAGTGGATATGTGGACCTCTGTGAAGATTTCGTTGGAAACGGGTTCATCTTCACAGAAAAACTAAACAGAAGCATTCTCAGAAACTGCTTTGTGATGTTTGTGTTCCACTTCAAGAATTGAACTTTCCTCTTGACAGAGCAGCTCTGAAACCCTCTTTTTCTAGAATCTGCAAGTGGACATTTGGAGGGCTTTGAGGCCTTTGGTGGAAAAGGAAAATCTTCACATAACAACTAGATGGAAGCATTCTCAGAAACTACTTTGTGATGATTGCATTCGACTCACAGAGTTGAACATTCCTATAGATAGAGCAGGTTGTAAACAATCTTTTTGTAGAATCTGCGATTGGACATTTGGACTGCTTTGAGGCCTACTGTAGTAAAGGAAATAACTTCATCTAAAAACCAAACGGAAGCATTCATAGACAATTCTTAGTGATCATTGGATTGAACTAACAGAGCTGAACATTCCTTTAGATGGAGCAGTTTCCAAACACACTTTCTGTAGAATCTGCAAGTGGATATTTGGACTTCTCTGAGGATTTCGTTGGAAACGGGATAAACTTCCCAGAACTACAGGGAAGCATTCTGAGAAACTTCTTTGTGATGTTTGCATTCAACTCACAGAGTTGAACCTTGCTTTCATAGTTCAGCTTTCAAACACTCTTTTTGTAGAATCTGCAAGTGGATATTTGGACCACTTTGTGGCCTTCCTTCGAAACGGGTATATCTTCACATCAAACCTAGACAGAAGCATTCTCAGAATGTTTCCTGTGATGACTGCATTCAACTCACAGAGGTGAACAATCCTGCTGATGGAGCAGTTTTGAAACTCTCTTTCTTTGGATTCTGCAAGTGGATATGTGGAACTCTGTGAAGATTTCGTTGGAAACGGGTTCATCTTCACAGAAAAACTAAACAGAAGCATTCTCAGAAACTGCTTTGTGATGTTTGTGTTCCACTTCAAGAATTGAACTTTCCTCTTGACAGAGCAGCTCTGAAACCCTCTTTTTCTAGAATCTGCAAGTGGACATTTGGAGGGCTTTGAGGCCTGTGGTGGAAAAGGAAAATCTTCACATAAAAACTAGATGGAAGCATTCTCAGAAACTACTTTGTGATGATGGCTTTCGACTCACAGAGTTGAACATTCCTATAGATAGAGCAGGTTGTAAACAATCTTTTTGTAGAATCTGCGATTGGAGATTTGGACTGCTTTGAGGCCTACTGTAGTAAAGGAAATAACTTCATCTAAAAACCAAACGGAAGCATTCACAGACAATTCTTAGTGATCATTGCATTGAACTAACAGAGTTGAACATTCCTTTAGGTGGCGCAGTTTCCAAACACACTTTCTGTTGAATCTGCAAGTGGATATTTGGACCTCTCTGAGGATTTCGTTGGAAACGAGATAAACTTCCCAGAACTACACGGAAGCATTGTGAGAAACTTCTTTGTGATGTTTGCATTCAACTCACAGAGTTGAACCTTGCTTTCATAGTTCAGCTTTCAAACCCTCTTTTTGTAGAATCTGCAAGTGGATATTTGGACCACTTTGTGGCCTTCCTTCGAAACGGGTATATGTTCACGTCAAACCTAGACAGAAGCATTCTCAGAATGTTTCCTGTGATGACTGCATTCAACTCACAGAGGTGAACAATCCTGCTGATGGAGCAGTTTTGAAACTCTCTTTCTTTGGATTCTGCAAGTGGATATGTGGACCTCTGTGAAGATTTCGTTGGAAACGGGTTCATCTTCACAGAAAAACTAAACAGGAGCATTCTCAGAAACTGCTTTGTGATGTTTGTGTTCCACTTCAAGAATTGAACTTTCCTCTTGACAGAGCAGCTCTGAAACCCTCTTTTTCTAGAATCTGCAAGTGGACATTTGGAGGGCTTTGAGGCCTGTGGTGGAAAAGGAAAATCTTCACATAAAAACTAGATGGAAGCATTCTCAGAAACTACTTTGTGATGATTGCATTCGACTCACAGAGTTGAACATTCCTATAGATAGAGCAGGTTGTAAACAATCTTTTTGTAGAATCTGCGATTGGAGATTTGGACTGCTATGAGGCCTACTGTAGTAAAGGAAATAACTTCATCTAAAAACCAAACGGAAGCATTCACAGACAATTCTTAGTGATCATTGCATTGAACTAACAGAGCTGAACATTCCTTTAGATGGAGCAGTTTCCAAACACACTTTCTGTAGAATCTGAAAGTGGATATTTGGACTTCTCTGAGGATTTCGTTGGAAACGGGATAAACTTCTCAGAACTACACGGAAGCATTGTGAGAAACTTCTTTGTGATGTTTGCATTCAACTCACAGAGTTGAACCTTGCTTTCATAGTTCAGCTTTCAAACACTCTTTTTGTAGAATCTGCAAGTGGATATTTGGACCACTTTGTGGCCTTCCTTCGAAACGGGTATATCTTCACATCAAACCTAGACAGAAGCATTCTCAGAATGTTTCCTGTGATGACTGCATTCAACTCACAGAGGTGAACAATCCTGCTGATGGAGCAGTTTTGAAACTCACCTTCTTTGGATTCTGCAAGGGGATATGTGGACCTCTGTGAAGATTTCGTTGGAAACGGGTTCATCTTCACAGAAAAACTTAACAGAAGCATTCTCAGAAACTGCTTTGTGATGTTTGTGTTCCACTTCAAGAATTGAACTTTCCTCTTGACAGAGCAGCTCTGAAACCCTCTTTTTCTAGAATCTGCAAGTGGACATTTGGAGGGCTTTGAGGCCTGTGGTGGAAAAGGAAAATCTTCCCATAAAAACTAGATGGAAGCATTCTCAGAAACTACTTTGTGATGATTGCATTCGACTCACAGAGTTGAACATTCCTATAGATAGAGCAGGTTGTAAACAATCTTTTTGTAGAATCTGCGATTGGAGATTTGGACTGCTTTGAGGCCTACTGTAGTAAAGGAAATAACTTCATCTAAAAACCAAACGGAAGCATTCACAGACAATTCTTAGTGATCATTGCATTGAACTAACAGAGCTGAACATTGCTTTAGATGGCGCAGTTTCCAAACACACTTTCTGTAGAATCTGCAAGTGGATATTTGGACTTCTCTGAGGATTTCGTTGGAAACGGGATAAACTTCCCAGAACTACACGGAAGCATTGTGAGAAACTTCTTTGTGATGTTTGCATTCAACTCACAGAGTTGAACGTTGCTTTCATAGTTCAGCTTTCAAACACTCTTTTTGTAGAATCTGCAAGTGGATATTTGGACCACTTTGTGGCCTTCCTTCGAAACGGGTATATCTTCACATCAAACCTAGACAGAAGCATTCTCAGAATGTTTCCTGTGATGACTGCATTCAACTCACAGAGGTGAACAATCCTGTTGATGGAGCACTTTTGAAACTCTCTTTCTTTGGATTCTGCAAGTTGATATGTGGACCTCTGTGAAGATTTCGTTGGAAACGGGTTCATCTTCACAGAAAAACTAAACAGAAGCATTCTCAGAAACTGCTTTGTGATGTTTGTGTTCCACTTCAGGAATTGAACTTTCCTCTTGACAGAGCAGCTCTGAAACCCTCTTATTCTAGAATCTGCAAGTGGACATTTGGAGGGCTTTGAGGCCTGTGGTGGAAAAGGAAAATCTTCACATAAAAACTAGATGGAAGCATTCTCAGCAAACTACTTTGTGATGATTGCATTCGACTCACAGCAGTTGAACATTCCTATAGATAGAGCAGGTTGTAAACAATGTTTTTGTAGAATCTGCGATTGGAGATTTGGATTGCTTTGAGGCCTACTGTAGTAAAGGAAATAACTTCATCTAAAAACCAAACGGAAGCATTCACAGACAATTCTTAGTGATCATTGGATTGAACTAACAGAGCTGAACATTCCTTTAGATGGAGCAGTTTCCAAACACACTTTCTGTAGAATCTGCAATTGGATATTTGGACCTCTCTGAGGATTTCGTTGGAAATGGGATAAATTTCCCAGAAATACACGGAAGCATTCTGAGAAACTTCTTTGTGATGTTTGCATTCAACTCACAGAGTTGAACCTTGCTTTCATGGTTCAGCTTTCAAACACTCTTTTTGTAGAATCTGCAAGTGGATATTTGGACCACTTTGGGGCCTTCCTTCGAAACGGGTATATCTTCACATCAAACCTAGACAGAAGCATTCTCAGAATGTTTCCTGTGATGACTGCATTCAACTCACAGAGGTGAACAATCCTGCTGATGGAGCAGTTTTGAAACTCTCTTTCTTTGGATTCTGCAAGTGGATATGTGGACCTCTGTGAAGATTTCGTTGGAAACGGGTTCATCTTCACAGAAAAACTAAACAGGAGCATTCTCAGAAACTGCTTTGTGATGTTTGCGTTCCACTTCAGGAACTGAACTTTCCTCTTGACAGAGCAGCTCTGAAACCCTCTTATTCTAGAATCTGCAAGTGGACATTTGGAGGGCTTTGAGGCCTGTGGTGGAAAAGGAAAATCTTCCCATACAAACTAGATGGAAGCATTCTCAGAAACTACTTTGTGATGATTGCATTCGACTCACAGAGTTGAACATTCCTATAGATAGAGCAGGTTGTAAACAATCTTTTTGTAGAATCTGCGATTGGAGATTTGGACTGCTTTGAGGCCTACTGTAGTAAAGGAAATAACTTCATCTAAAAACCAAACGGAAGCATTCACAGACAATTCTTAGTGATCATTGCATTGAACTAACAGAGCTGAACATTCCTTTAGATGGCGCAGTTTCCAAACACACTTTCTGTAGAATCTGCAAGTGGATATTTGGACTTCTCTGAGGATTTCGTTGGAAACGGGATAAACTTCCCAGAACTACACGGAAGCATTCTGAGAAACTTCTTTGTGATGTTTGCATTCAACTCACAGAGTTGAAACTTGCTTTCATAGTTCAGCTTTCAATCACTCTTTTTGTAGAATCTGCAAGTGGATATTTGGACCACTTTGTGGCCTTCCTTCCAAACGGGTATATCTTCACATCAAACCTAGACAGAAGCATTCTCAGAATGTTTCCTGTGATGACTGCATTCAACTCACAGAGGTGAACAATCCTGTTGATGGAGCACTTTTGAAACTCTCGTTCTTTGGATTCTGCAAGTTCATATGTGGACCTCTGTGAAGATTTCGTTGGAAACGGGTTCATCTTCACAGAAAAACTAAACAGAAGCATTCTCAGAAACTACTTTGTGATGTTTGTGTTCCACTTCAAGAATTGAACTTTCCTCTTGATAGAGCAGCTCTGAAACCCTCTTTTTCTAGAATCTGCAAGTGGACATTTGGAGGGCTTTGAGGCCTGTGGTGGAAAAGGAAAATCTTCACATAAAAACTAGATGGAAGCATTCTCAGAAACTACTTTGTGATGATTGCATTCGACTCACAGAGTTGAACATTCCTATAGATAGAGCAGGTTGAAAACAATCTTTTTGTAGAATCTGCGATTGCAGATTTGGACTGCTTTGAGGCCTAGTGTAGTAAAGGAAATAACTTCATCTAAAAACCAAACGGAAGCATTCACAGACAATTCTTAGTGATCATTGGATTGAACTAACAGAGCTGAACATTCCTTTAGATGGAGCAGTTTCCAAACACACTTTCTGTAGAATCTGCAAGTGGATATTTGGACCTCTCTGAGGATTTCGTTGGAAACGGGCTAAACTTCCCAGAACTACACGGAAGCATTCTGAGAAACTTCTTTGTGATGTTTGCATTCAACTCACAGAGTTGAACCTTGCTTTCATAGTTCAGCTTTCAAACACTCTTTTTGTAGAATCTGCAAGTGGATATTTGGACCACTTTGTGGCCTTCCTTCGAACGGGTATATCTTCACATCAAACCTAGACAGAAGCATTCTCAGAATGTTTCCTGTGATGACTGCATTCAACTCACAGAGGTGAACAATCCTGTTGATGGAGCACTTTTGAAACTCTCTTTCTTTGGATTCTGCAAGTTGATATGTGGACCTCTGTGAAGATTTCGTTGGAAACGGGTTCATCTTCACAGAAAAACTAAACAGAAGCATTCTCAGAAACTACTTTGTGATGTTTGTGTTCCACTTCAAGAATTGAACTTTCCTCTTGACAGAGCAGCTCTGAAACCCTCTTTTTCTAGAATCTGCAAGTGGACATTTGGAGGGCTTTGAGGCCTGTGGTGGAAAAGGAAAATCTTCACATAAAAACTAGATGGAAGCATTCTCAGAAACTACTTTGTGATGATTGCATTCGACTCACAGAGTTGAACATTCCTATAGATAGAGCAGGTTGTAAACAATCTTTTTGTAGAATCTGCGATTGGAGATTTGGACTGCTTTGAGGCCTACTGTAGTAAAGGAAATAACTTCATCTAAAAACCAAACGGAAGCATTCAGAGACAATTCTTTGTGATCATTGGATTGAACTAACAGAGCTGAACATTCCTTTAGATGGAGCAGTTTCCAAACACACTTTCTGTAGAATCTGCAAGTGGATATTTGGACCTCTCTGAGGATTTCGTTGGAAACGGGATAAACTTCCCAGAACTACACGGAAGCATTCTGAGAAACTTCTTTGTGATGTTTGCATTCAACTCACAGAGTTGAACCTTGCTTTCATAGTTCAGCTTTCAAACACTCTTTTTGTAGAATCTGCAAGTGGATATTTGGACCACTTTGTGGCCTTCCTTCGAAACGGGTATATCTTCACATCAAACCTAGACAGAAGCATTCTCAGAATGTTTCCTGTGATGACTGCATTCAACTCACAGAGGTGAACAATCCTGTTGATGGAGCACTTTTGAAACTCTCTTTCTTTGGATTCTGCAAGTTGATATGAGGACCTCTGTGAAGATTTCGTTGGAAACGGGTTCATCTTCACAGAAAAACTAAACAGAAGCATTCTCAGAAACTGCTTTGTGATGTTTGTGTTCCACTTCAAGAATTTAACTTTCCTCTTGACAGAGCAGCTCTGAAACCCTCTTTTTCTAGAATCTGCAAGTGGACATTTGGAGGGCTTTGAGGCCTGTGGTGCAAAAGGAAAATCTTCACATAAAAACTAGATGGAAGCATTCTCAGAAACTACTTTGTGATGATTGCATTCGACTCACAGAGTTGAACATTCCTATAGATTGAGCAGGTTGTAAGAAATCTTTTTGTAGAATCTGCGATTGGAGATTTGGACTGCTTTGAGGCCTACTGTAGTAAAGGAAATAACTTCACCTAAAAACCAAACGGAAGCATTCACAGACAATTCTTAGTGATCATTGCATTGAACTAACAGAGCTGAACATTCCTTTAGATGGCGCAGTTTCCAAACACACTTTCTGTAGAATCTGCAAGTGGATATTTGGACCTCTCTGAGGATTTCGTTGGAAACGGGATAAACTTCCCAGAACTACACGGAAGCATGCTGAGAAACTTCTTTGTGATGTTTGCATTCAACTCACAGAGTTGAACCTTGCTTTCATAGTTCAGCTTTCAAACACTCTTTTTGTAGAATCTGCAAGTGGATATTTGGACCACTTTGTGGCCTTCCTTCGAAACGGGTATATCTTCACATCAAACCTAGACAGAAGCATTCTCAGAATGTTTCCTGTGATGACTGCATTCAACTCACAGAGGTGAACAATCCTGCTGATGGAGCAGTTTTGAAACTCTCTTTCTTTGGATTCTGCAAGTGGATATGTGGACCTCTGTGAAGATTTCGTTGGAAACGGGTTCATCTTCACAGAAAAACTAAACAGGAGCATTCTCAGAAACTGCTTTGTGATGTTTTTGTTCCACTTCAGGAATTGAACTTTCCTCTTGACAGAGCAGCTCTGAAACCCTCTTTTTCTAGAATCTGCAAGTGGACATTTGGAGGGCTTTGAGGCCTGTGGTGGAAAAGGAAAATCTTCACATAAAAACTAGATAGAAGCATTCTCAGAAACTACTTTGTGATGATTGCATTCGACTCACAGAGTTGAACATTCCTATAGATACAGCAGGTTGTAAACAATCTTTTTGTAGAATCTGCGATTGGAGATTTGGACTGCTTTGAGGCCTACTGTAGTAAAGGAAATAACTTCATCTAAAAACCAAACGGAAGCATTCACAGACAATTCTTAGTGATCATTGCATTGAACTAACAGAGCTGAACATTCCTTTAGATGGCGCAGTTTCCAAACACACTTTCTGTAGAATCTGCAAGTGGATATTTGGACTTCTCTGAGGATTTCGTTGGAAACGGGATAAACTTCCCAGAACTACACGGAAGCATGCTGAGAAACTTATTTGTGATGTTTGCATTCAACTCACAGAGTTGAACCTTGCTTTCATAGTTCAGCTTTCAAACACTCTTTTTGTAGAATCTGCAAGTGGATATTTGGACAACTTTGTGGCCTTCCTTCGAAACGGGTATATCTTCACATCAAATCTAGACAGAAGCATTCTCAGAATGTTTCCTGTGATGACTGCATTCAACTCACAGAGGTGAACAATCCTGCTGATGGAGCAGTTTTGAAACTCTCTTTCTTTGGATTCTGCAAGTGGATATGTGGACCTCTGTGAAGATTTCTTTGGAAACGGGTTCATCTTCACAGAAAAACTAAACAGGAGCATTCTCAGAAACTGCTTTGTGATGTTTGTGTTCCACTTCAGGAATTGAACTTTCCTCTTGACAGAGCAGCTCTGAAATCCTCTTATTCTAGAATCTGCAACTGGACATTTGGAGGGCTTTGAGGCCTGTGGTGGAAAAGGAAAATCTTCACATAAAAACTAGATGGAAGCATTCTCAGAAACCACTTTGTGATGATTGCATTCGACTCACAGAGTTGAACATTCCTATAGATAGAGCAGGTTGTAAACAATCTTTTTGTAGAATCTGCGACTGGAGATTTGGACTGCTTTGAGGCCTACTGTAGTAAAGGAAATAACTTCATCTAAAAACCAAACGGAGACATTCACAGACAATTCTTAGTGATCATTGGATTGAACTAACAGAGCTGAACATTCCCTTAGATGGCGCAGTTTCCAAACACACTTTCTGTAGAATCTGCAAGTGGATATTTGGACCTCTCTGAGGATTTCGTTGGAAACGGGATAAACTTCCCAGAAGTACACGGAAGCATTCTGAGAAACTTCTTTGTGATGTTTGCATTCAACTCACAGATTTGAACCTTGCTTTCAAAGTTCAGCTTTCAAACACTCTTTTTGTAGAATCTGCAAGTGGATATTTGGACCACTTTGTGGCCTTCTTTCGAAAAGGGTATATCTTCACATCAAACCTAGACAGAAGCATTCTCAGAATGTTTCCTGTGATGACTGCATTCAACTCACAGAGGTGAACAATCCTGCTGATGGAGCAGTTTTGAAACTCTCTTTCTTTGGATTCTGCAAGTGGATATCTGGACCTCTGTGAAGATTTCGTTGGAAACGGGTTCATCTTCACAGAAAAACTAAACAGAAGCATTCTCAGAAACTGCTTTGTGATGTTTGTGTTCCACTTCAGGAATTGAACTTTCCTCTTGACAGAGCAGCTCTGAAACCCTCTTATTCTAGAATCTGCAAGTGGACATTTGGAGGGCTTTGAGGCCTGTGGTGGAAAAGGAAAATCTTCACATAAAAACTAGATGGAAGCATTCTCAGAAACTACTTTGTGTTGATTGCTTTCGACTCACAGAGTTGAACATTCCTATAGATAGAGTAGGTTGTAAACAATCTTTTTGTAGAATCTGCGATTGGAGATTTGGACTGCTTTGAGGCCTACTGTAGTAAAGGAAATAACTTCATCTAAAAACCAAACTGAAGCATTCACAGACAATTCTTAGTGATCATTGCATTGAACTAACAGAGCTGAACATTCCTTTAGATGGAGCAGTTTCCAAACACACTTTCTGTAGAATCTGCAAGTGGATATTTGGACTTCTCTGAGGATTTCGTTGGAAACGGGATAAACTTCCCAGAACTACACGGAAGCATTCTGAGAAACTTCTTTGTGATGTTTGCATTCAACTCACAGAGTTGAACCTTGCTTTCATAGTTCAGCTTTCAAACACTCTTTTTGTAGAATCTGCAAGTGGATATTTGGACCACTTTCTGGCCTTCCTTCGAAACGGGTATATCTTCACATCAAACCTAGACAGAAGCATTCTCAGAATGTTTCCTGTGATGACTGCATTCAACTCACAGAGGTGAACAATCCTGCTGATGGAGCAGTTTTGAAACTCTCTTTCTTTGGATTCTGCAAGTGGATATGTGGACCTCTGTGAAGATTTCGTTGGAAACGGGTTTATCTTCACAGAAAAACTAAACAGAAACATTCTCAGAAACTGCTTTGTGATGTTTGTGTTCCACTTCAAGAATTGAACTTTCCTCTTGACAGAGCAGCTCTGAAACCCTCTTTTTCTAGAATCTGCAAGTGGACATTTGGAGGGCTTTGAGGCCTGTGGTGGAAAAGGAAAATCTTCACATAAAAACTAGATGGAAGCATTCTCAGAAACTACTTTGTGATGATTGCATTCGACTCACAGAGTTGAACATTCCTATAGATAGAGCAGGTTGTAAACAATCTTTTTGTAGAATCTGCGATTGGAGATTTGGACTGCATTGAGGCCTACTGTAGTAAAGGAAATAACTTCATGTAAAAACCAAACGGAAGCATTCACAGAAAATTCTTAGTGATCATTGGATTGAACTAACAGAGCTGAACATTCCTTTAGATGGAGCAGTTTCCAAACACACTTTCTGTAGAATCTGCCACTGGATATTTGGACCTCTCTGAGGATTTCTTTGGAAACGGGATAAACTTCCCAGAACTACACGGTAGCATTCTCAGAAACATATTTCTCACTTTTGCATTCAACTCACAGAGTTGAACCTTCCTTTCATAGTTCAGCTTTCAAACACTCTATTTGTAGAATCTGCAAGTGGATATTTGGACCACTTTGTGGCCTTCCTTCGAAACGGGTATATCTTCACATCAAACCTAGACAGAAGCATTCTCAGAATGTTTCCTGTGATGACTGCATTCAACTCACAGAGGTGAACAATCCTGCTGATGGAGCAGTTTTGAAACTCTCTTTCTTTGGATTCTGCAAGTGGATATGTGGACCTCTGTGAAGATTTCGTTGGAAACGGGTTCATCTTCACAGAAAAACTAAACAGAAGCATTCTCAGAAACTGCTTTGTGATGTTTGTATTCCACTTCAAGAATTGAACTTTCCTCTTGACAGAACAGCTCTGAAACCCTCTTTTTCTAGAATCTGCAAGTGGACATTTGGAGGACTTTGAGGCCTGTGGTGGAAAAGGAAATATCTTCACATAAAACCTAGATAGAAGCATTCTCAGAAACTACTTTGTGATGATTGCATTCGACTCACAGAGTTGAACATTCCTATAGATAGAGCAGGTTGTAAACAATCTTTTTGTAGAATCTGCGATTGGAGATTTGGACTGCTTTGAGGCCTACTGTAGTAAAGGAAATAACTTCATCTAAAAACCAAACGGAAGCATTCACAGACAATTCTTAGTGATCATTGCATTGAACTAACAGAGCTGAACATTCCTTTAGATGGAGCAGTTTCCAAACACACTTTCTGTAGAATCTGCAAGTGGATATTTGGACTTCTCTGAGGATTTCGTTGGAAACGGGATAAACTTCCCAGAACTACACGGAAGCATTGTGAGAAACTTCTTTGTGATGTTTGCATTCAACTCACAGAGTTGAACCTTGCTTTCATAGTTCAGCTATCAAACACTCTTTTTGTAGGGTCTGCAAGTGGATATTTGGACCACTTTGTGGCCTTCCTTCGAAACGGGTATATCTTCACATCAAACCTAGACAGAAGCATTCTCAGAATGTTTCCTGTGATGACTGCATTCAACTCACAGAGGTGAACAATCCTGCTGATGGAGCAGTTTTGAAACTCTCTTTCTTTGGATTCTGCAAGTGGATATGTGGACCTCTGTGAAGATTTCGTTGGAAACGGGTTCATCTTCACAGAAAAACTAAACAGAAGCATTCTCAGAAACTGCTTTGTGATGTTTGTGTTCCACTTCAGGAATTGAACTTTCCTCTTGACAGAGCAGCTCTGAAACCCTCTTTTTCTAGAATCTGCAAGTTGACATTTGGAGGGCTTTGAGGCCTGTGGTGGAAAAGGAAAATCTTCACATAAAAAACTAGATGAAAGCATTCTCAGAAACTACTTTGTGATGATTGCATTCGACTCACAGAGTTGAACATTCCTATAGATAGAGCAGGTTGTAAACAATCTTTTTGTAGAATCTGCGATTGGAGATTTGGACTGCTTTGAGGCCAACTGTAGTAAAGGAAATAACTACATCTAAAAACCAAACGGAAGCATTCACAGACAATTCTTATTGATCATTGCATTGAACTAACAGAGCTGAACATTCCTTTAGATGGCGCAGTTTCCAAACACACTTTCTGTAGAGTCTGCAAGTGGATATTTGGACCTCTCTGAGGATTTCGTTGGAAACGGGATAAACTTCCCAGAACTACACGGAAGCATGCTGAGAAACTTCTTTGTGATGTTTGCATTCAACTCACAGAGTTGAACCTTGCTTTCATAGTTCAGCTTTCAAACACTCTTTTTGTAGAATCTGCAAGTGGATATTTGGACCACTTTGTGGCCTTCCTTCGAAACGGGTATATCTTCACATCAAACCTAGAAAGAAGCATTCTCAGAATGTTTCCTGTGATGACTGCATTCAACTCACAGAGGTGAACAATCCTGCTGATGGAGCAGTTTTGAAACTCCCTTTCTTTGGATTCTGCAAGTGGATATGTGGACCTCTGTGAAGATTTCGTTGGAAACGGGTTCATCTTCACAGAAAAACTAAACAGGAGCATTCTCAGAAACTGCTTTGTGATGTTTGTGTTCCACTTCAGGAATTGAACTTTCCTCTTGACAGAGCAGCTCTGAAACCCTCTTATTCTAGAATCTGCAAGTGGACATTTGGAGGGGTTTGAGGCCTGTGGTGGAAAAGGAAAATCTTCACATAAAAACTAGATGGAAGCATTCTCAGAAACTACTTTGTGATGATTGCATTCGACTCACAGAGTTGAACATTCCTATAGATAGAGCAGGTTGTAAACAATCTTTTTGTAGAATCTGCGATTGGAGATTTGGACTGCTTTGAGGCCTACTATAGTAAAGGAAATAACTTCATCTAAAAACCAAACGGAAGCATTCACAGACAATTCTTAGTGATCATTGGATTGAACTAACAGAGCTGAACATTCCTTTAGATGGAGCAGTTTCCAAACCCACTTTCTGAAGAATCTGCAAGTGGATATTTGGACTTCTCTGAGGATTTCGTTGGAAACGGGATAAACTTCCCAGAACTACACGGAAGCATTGTGAGAAACTTCTTTGTGATGTTTGCATTCAACTCACAGAGTTGAACCTTGCTTTCATAGTTCAGCTTTCAAACACTCTTTTTGTGGAATCTGCAAGTGGATATTTGGACCAATTTGTGGCCTTCCTTCGAAACGGTTATATCTTCACATCAAACCTAGACAGAAGCATTCTCAGAATGTTTCCTGTGATGACTGCATTCAACTCACAGAGGTGAACAATCCTGCTGATGGAGCAGTTTTGAAACTCTCTTTCTTTGGATTCTGCAAGTGGATATGTGGACCTCTGTGAAGATTTCGTTGGAAACGGGTTCATCTTCACAGAAAAACTAAACAGAAGCATTCTCAGAAACTGCTTTGTGATGTTTGTGTTCCACTTCAGGAATTGAACTTTCCTCTTGACAGAGCAGCTCTGAAACCCTCTTTTTCTAGAATCTGCAGGTGGGCATTTTGAGGGCTTAGAGGCCTGTGGTGGAAAAGGAAAATCTTCACATAAAAACTAGATGGAAGCATTCTCAGAAACTACTTTGTGATGATTGCATTCGACTCACAGAGTTGAACATTCCTATACATAGAGCAGGTTGTAAACAATCTTTTTGTAGAATCTGCGATTGGAGATTTGGACTGCTTTGAGGCCTACTGTAGTAAAGGAAATAACTTCATCTAAAAACCAAACGGAAGCATTCACAGACAATTCTTAGTGATCATTGGATTGAACTAACAGAGCTGAACATTCCCTTAGATGGCGCAGTTTCCAAACACACTTTCTGTAGAATCTGCAAGTGGATATTTGGACCTCTCTGAGGATTTCGTTGGAAACGGGATAAACTTCCCAGAACTACACGGAAGTATTCTAAGAAACTTCTTTGTGATGGTTGCATTCAACTCACAGAGTTGAAGCTTGCTTTCATAGTTCAGCTTTCAAACACTCTTTTTGTAGAATCTGCAAGTGGATATTTGGACCAATTTGTGGCCTTCCTTCGAAACGGGCATATCTTCACATCAAACCTTGACAGAAGCATTCTCAGAATGTTTCCTGTGATGACTGCATTCAACTCACAGAGGTGAACAATCCTGTTGATGGAGCACTTTTGAAACTCTCTTTCTTTGGATTCTGCAAGTTGATATGTGGACCTCTGTGAAGATTTCGTTGGAAACGGGTTCATCTTCACAGAAAAGCTAAACAGAAGCATTCTCAGAAACGGCTTTGTGATGTTTGTGTTCCACTTCAAGAATTGAACTTTCCTTTTGACAGAGCAGCTCTGAAACCCTCTTTTTCTAGAATCTGCAAGTGGACATTTGGAGGGCTTTGAGGCCTGTGGTGGAAAAGGAAACTCTTCACATAAAAACTAGATGGAAGCATTCTCAGAAACTACTTTGTGATGATTGCATTCGACTCACAGAGTTGAACATTCCTATAGATAGAGCAGGTTGTAAACAATCTTTTTGTAGAATCTGCGATTGGAGATTTGGACTGCTTTGAGGCCTACTGTAGTAAAGGAAATAACTTCATCTAAAAACCAAACGGAAGCATTCACAGACAATTCTTAGTGATCATTGGATTGAACTAACAGAGCTGAACATTCCTTTAGATGGAGCATTTTCCAAACACACTTTCTGTAGAATCTGCAAGTGGATATTTGGACTTCTCTGAGGATTTCGTTGGAAACGGGATAAACTTCCCAGAACTACACGGAAGCATTGTGAGAAACTTCTTTGTGATGTTTGCATTCAACTCACAGAGTTGAACCTTGCTTTCATAGTTCAGCTATCAAACACTCTTTTTGTAGGATCTGCAAGTGGATATTTGAACCACTTTGTGGCCTTCCTTCGAAACGGGTATATCTTCACATGAAACATAGACAGAAGCATTCTCAGATTGTTTCCTGTGATGACTGCATTCAACTCACAGAGGTGAACAATCCTGCTGTTGGAGCAGTTTTGAAACTCTCTTTCTTTGGATTCTGCAAGTGGATATGTGGACCTCTGTGAAGATTTCGTTGGAAACGGGTTCATCTTCACAGAAAAACTAAACAGGAGCATTCTCAGAAACTACTTTGTGATGTTTGTGTTCCACTTCAAGAATTGAACTTTCCTCTTGACAGAGCAGCTCTGAAACCCTCTTTTTCTAGAATCTGCAAGTGGACATTTGGAGGGCTTTGAGGCCTGTGGTGGAAAAGGAAAATCTTCACATAAAAACTAGATGGAAGCATTCTCAGAAACTAGTTTGTGATGATTGCATTCGACTCACAGAGTTGAACATTCCTATAGATAGAGCAGGTTGTAAACAATCTTTTTGTAGAATCTGCGATTGGAGATTTGGACTGCTTTGAGGCCTACTGTAGTAAAGGAAATAACTTCATCTAAAAACCAAACGGAAGCATTCACAGACAATTCTTAGTGATCATTGGATTGAACTAACAGAGCTGAACATTCCTTTAGATGGAGCAGTTTCCAAACACACTTTCTGTAGAATCTGCAAGTGGATATTTGGACTTCTCTGAGGATTTCGTTGGAAACGGGATAAACTTCCCAGAACTACACGGAAGCATTGTGAGAAACTTCTTTGTGATGTTTGCATTCAACTCACAGAGTTGAACCTTGCTTTCATAGTTCAGCTTTCAAACACTCTTTTTGTAGAATCTGCAAGTGGATATTTGGACCACTTTGTGGCCTTCCTTCGAAACGGGTATATCTTCACATCAAACCTACACAGAAGCATTCTCAGAATGTTTCCTGTGATGACTGCATTCAACTCACAGAGGTGAACAATCCTGCTGATGGAGCAGTTTTGAAACTCTCTTTCTTTGGATTCTGCAAGTGGATATGTGGACCTCTGTGAAGATTTCGTTGGAAACGGGTTCATCTTCACAGAAAAACTAAACAGAAGCATTCTCAGAAACTGCTTTGTGATGTTTGTGTTCCACTTCAGGAATTGAACTTTCCTCTTGACAGAGCAGCTCTGAAACCCTCTTATTCTAGAATCTGCAAGTGGACATTTGGAGGGCTTTGAGGCCTGTGGTGGAAAAGGAAAATCTTCACATACAAACTAGATGGAAGCATTCTCAGAAACTACTTTGTGATGATTGCATTCGACTCACAGAGTTGAACATTCCTATAGATAGAGCAGGTTGTAAACAATCTTTTTGTAGAATCTGCGATTGGAGATTTGGACTGCTTTGAGGCCTACTGTAGTAAAGGACAGAACTTCATCTAAAAACCAAACGGAAGCATTCACAGACAATTCTTAGTGATCATTGGATTGAACTAACAGAGCTGAACATTCCTTTAGATGGAGCAGTTTCCAAACACACTTTCTGTAGAATCTGCAAGTGGATATTTGGACTTCTCTGAGGATTTCGTTGGAAACGGGATAAACTTCCCAGAACTACACGGAAGCATTGTGAGAAACTTCTTTGTGATGTTTGCATTCAACTCACAGAGTTGAACCTTGCTTTCATAGTTCAGCTTTCAAACACTCTTTTTGTAGAATCTGCAAGTGGATATTTGGACCACTTTGTGGCCTTCCTTCGAAACGGGTATATCTTCACATCAAACCTAGACAGAAGCATTCTCAGAATGTTTCCTGTGATGACTGCATTCAACTCACAGAGGTGAACAATCCTGTTGATGGAGCAGTTTTGAAACTCTCTTTCTTTGGATTCTGCAAGTTGATATGTGGACCTCTGTGAAGATTTCGTTGGAAACGGGTTCATCTTCACAGAAAAACTAAACAGAAGCATTCTCAGAAACTGCTTTGTGATGTTTGTGTTCCACTTCAAGAATTGCACTTTCCTCTTGACAGAGCAGCTCTGAAACCCTCTTTTTCCAGAATCTGCAAGTGGACATTTGGAGGGCTTTGAGGCCTGTGGTGGAAAAGGAAAATCTTCACATAAGAACTAGATGGAAGCATTCTCAGAAACTACTTTGTGATGATTGCATTCGACTCACAGAGTTGAACATTCCTATAGATAGAGCAGGTTGTAAACAATGTTTTTGTAGAATCTGCGATTGGAGATTTGGACTGCTTTGAGGCCTACTGTAGTAAAGGAAATAACTTCATCTAAAAACCAAACGGAAGCATTCACAGACAATTCTTAGTGATCATTGGATTGAACTAACAGAGCTGAACATTCCTTTAGATGGAGCAGTTTCCAAACACACTTTCTGTAGAATCTGCAAGTGGATATTTGGACTTCTCTGAGGATTTCGTTGGAAACGGGATAAACTTCTCAGAACTACACGGAAGCATTGTGAGAAACTTCTTTGTGATGTTTGCATTCAACTCACAGAGTTGAACCTTGCTTTCATAGTTCAGCTTTCAAACACTCTTTTTGTAGAATCTGCAAGTGGATATTTGGACCACTTTGTGGCCTTCTTTCGAAACGGGTATATCTTCACATCAAACCTAGACAGAAGCATTCTCAGAATGTTTCCTGTGATGACTGCATTCAACTCAGAGAGGTGAACAATCCTGTTGATGGGGCACTTTTGAAACTCTCTTTCTTTGGATTCTGCAAGTTGATATGTGGACCTCTGTGAAGATTTCGTTGGAAACGGGTTCATCTTCACAGAAAAACTAAACAGAAGCATTCTCAGAAACTACTTTGTGATGTTTGTGTTCCACTTCAAGAATTGAACTTTCCTCTTGACAGAGCAGCTCTGAAACCCTCTTTTTCTAGAATCTGCAAGTGGACATTTGGAGGGCTTTGAGGCCTGTGGTGGAAAAGGAAAATCTTCACATAAAAACTAGATGGAAGCATTCTCAGAAACTACTTTGTGATGATTGCATTCGACTCACAGAGTTGAACATTCCTATAGATAGAGCAGGTTGTAAACAATCTTTTTGTAGAATCTGCGATTGGAGATTTGGACTGCTTTGAGGCCTACTGTAGTAAAGGAAATAACTGCATCTAAAAACCAAACGGAAGCATTCACAGACAATTCTTAGTGATCATTGGATTGAACTAACAGAGCTGAACATTCCTTTAGATGGAGCAGTTTCCAAACACACTTTCTGTAGAATCTGCAAGTGGATATTTGGACCTCTCTGAGGATTTCGTTGGAAACGGGATAAACTTCCCAGAACTACACGGAAGCATTCTGAGAAACTTCTTTGTGATGTTTGCATTCAACTCACAGAGTTGAACCTTGCTTTCATAGTTCAGCTTTCAAACACTCTTTTTGTAGAATCTGCAAGTGGATATTTGGACCACTTTGTGGCCTTCCTTCGAAACGGGTATATCTTCACATCAAACCTAGACAGAAGCATTCTCAGAATGTTTCCTGTGATGACTGCATTCAACTCACAGAGGTGAACAATCCTGCTGATGGAGCAGTTTTGAAACTCTCTTTCTTTGGATTCTGCAAGTGGATATGTGGACCTCTGTGAAGATTTCGTTGGAAACGGGTTCATCTTCACAGAAAAACTAAACAGAAGCATTCTCAGAAACTGCTTTGTGATGTTTGTGTTCCACTTCAAGAATTGCACTTTCCTCTTGACAGAGCAGCTCTGAAACCCTCTTTTTCCAGAATCTGCAAGTGGACATTTGGAGGGCTTTGAGGCCTGTGGTGGAAAAGGAAAATCTTCACATAAGAACTAGATGGAATCATTCTCAGAAACTACTTTGTGATGATTGCATTCGACTCAAAGAGTTGAACATTCCTATAGATAGAGCAGGTTGTAAACAATCTTTTTGTAGAATATGCGATTGGAGATTTGGACTGCTTTGAGGCCTACTGTAGTAAAGGAAATAACTTCATCTAAAAACCAAACGGAAGCATTCACAGACAATTCTTAGTGATCATTGCATTGAACTAACAGAGCTGAACATTCCTTTAGATGGCGCAGTTTCCAAACACACTTTCTGTAGAATCTGCAAGTGGATATTTGGACCTCTCTGAGGATTTCGTTGGAAACGGGATAAACTTCCCAGAACTACACGGAAGCATTGTGAGAAACTTCTTTGTGATGTTTGCATTCAACTCACAGAGTTGAACCTTGCTTTCATAGTTCAGCTTTCAAACACTCTTTTTGTAGAATCTGCAAGTGGATATTTGGACCACTTTGTGGCCTTCCTTCGAAACGGGTATATCTTCACATCAAACCTAGACAGAAGCATTCTCAGAATGTTTCCTGTGATGACTGCATTCAACTCACAGAGGTGAACAATCCTGCTGATGGAGCAGTTTTGAAACTCTCTTTCTTTGGATTCTGCAAGTTGATATGTGGACCTCTGTGAAGATTTCGTTGGAAACGGGTTCATCTTCACAGAAAAACTAAACAGGAGCATTCTCAGAAACTGCTTTGTGATGTTTGTGTTCCACTTCAAGAATTGAACTTTCCTCTTGACAGAGCAGCTCTGAAACCCTCTTTTTCTAGAATCTGCAAGTGGACATTTGGAGGGCTTTGAGGCCTGTGGTGGTAAAGGAAAATCTTCACATAAAAACTTTATGGAAGCATTCTCAGAAACTACTTTGTGATGATTGCATTCGACTCACAGAGTTGAACATTCCTATAGATAGAGCAGGTTGTAAACAATCTTTTTGTAGAATCTGCGATTGGAGATTTGGACTGCTTTGAGGCCTACTGTAGTAAAGGAAATAACTTCATCTAAAAACCAAACGGAAGCATTCACAGACAATTCTTAGTGATCATTGGATTGAACTAACAGAGCTGAACATTCCTTTAGATGGAGCAGTTGCCAAACCCACTTTCTGTAGAATCTGCAAGTGGATATTTGGACTTCTCTGAGGATTTCGTTGGAAACGGGATAAACTTCCCAGAACTACACGGAAGTATTCTGAGAAACTTCTTCGTGATGGTTGCATTCAACTCACAGAGTTGAACCTTGCTTTCATAGTTCAGCTTTCAAACACTCTTTTTGTAGAATCTGCAAGTGGATATTTGGACCATTTTGTGGCCTTCCTTCGAAACGGGTATATCTTCACATCAAACCTTGACAGAAGCATTCTCAGAATGTTTCCTGTGATGACTGCATTCAACTCACAGAGGTGAACAATCCTGCTGATGGAGCAGTTTTGAAACTCTCTTTCTTTGGATTCTGCAAGTGGATATGTGGACCTCTGGGAAGATTTCGTTGGAAACGGGTTCATCTTCACAGAAAAACTAAACAGGAGCATTCTCAGAAACTGCTTTGTGATGTTTGTGTTCCACTTCAAGAATTGAACTTTCCTCTTGACAGAGCAGCTCTGAAACCCTCTTTTTCTAGAATCTGCAAGTGGACATTTGGAGGGCTTTGAGGCCTGTGGTGGAAAAGGAAAATCTTCACATAAAAACTAGATGGAAGCATTCTCAGAAACTACTTTGTGATGATTGCATTCGACTCACAGAGTTGAACATTCCTATAGATAGAGCAGGTTGTAAACAATCTTTTTGTAGAATCTGCGATTGGAGATTTGGACTGCTTTGAGGCCTACTGTAGTAAAGGAAATAACTTCATCTAAAAACCAAACGGAAGCATTCAGAGACAATTCTTTTTGATCATTGGATTGAACTAACAGAGCTGAACATTCCTTTAGATGGAGCAGTTTCCAAACACACTTTCTGTAGAATCTGCAAGTGGATATTTGGACCTCTCTGAGGATTTCGTTGGAAACGGGATAAACTTCCCAAAACTACACGGAAGCATTCTCAGAAACTTCTTTGTGATGTTGCATTCAACTCACAGACTTGAACCTTGCTTTCATAGTTCAGCTTCCAAACACTCTTTTTGTAGAATCTGCAAGTGGATATTTGGACCACTTTGTGGCCTTCCTTCGAAACGGGAATATCTTCACATCAAACCTAGACAGAAGCATTCTCAGAATGTTTCCTGTGATGACTGCATTCAACTCACAGAGGTGAACAATCCTGCTGATGGAGCAGTTTTGAAACTCTCTTTCTTTGGATTCTGCAAGTGGATATGTGGACCTCTGTGAAGATTTCGTTGGAAACGGGTTCATCTTCACAGAAAAACTAAACAGAAGCATTCTCAGAAACTGCTTTGTGATGTTTGTGTTCCACTTCAGGAATTGAACTTTCCTCTTGACAGAGCAGCTCTGAAACCCTCTTTTTGTAGAATCTGCAAGTGGACATTTGGAGGGCTTTGAGGCCTGTGGTGGAAAAGGAAAATCTTCACATAAAAACTAGATGGAAGCATTCTCAGAAACTACTTTGTGATGATTGCATTCGACTCACAGAGTTGAACATTCCTATAGATAGAGCAGGTTGTAAACAATCTTTTTGTAGAATCTGCGATTGGAGATTTGGACTGCTTTGAGGCCTACTGTAGTAAAGGAAATAACTTCATCTAAAAACCAAACGGAAGCATTCACAGACAATTCTTAGTGATCATTGGATTGAACTAACAGAGCTGACTATTCCTTTAGATGGAGCAGTTTCCAAACCCACTTTCTGTAGAATCTGCAAGTGGATATTTGGACTTCTCTGAGGATTTCGTTGGAAACGGGATAAACTTCCCAGAACTACACGGAAGCATTCTGAGAAACTTCTTTGTGATGTTTGCATTCAACTCACAGAGTTGAACCTTGCTTTCATAGTTCAGCTTTCAAACACTCCTTTTGTAGAATCTGCAAGTGGATATTTGGACCACTTTGTGGCCTTCCTTCGAAACGGGTATATCTTCACATCAAACCTAGACAGAAGCATTCTCAGAATGTTTCCTGTGATGACTGCATTCAACTCACAGAGGTGAACAATCCTGCTGATGGAGCAGTTTTGAAACTCTCTTTCTTTGGATTCTGCAAGTGGATATGTGGACCTCTGTGAAGATTTCGTTGGAAACGGGTTCATCTTCACAGAAAAACTAAACAGGAGCATTCTCAGAAACTGCTTTGTGATGTTTGTGTTCCACTTCAAGAATTGAACTTTCCTCTTGACAGAGCAGCTCTGAAACCCTCTTTTTCTAGAATCTGCAAGTGGACATTTGGAGGGCTTTGAGGCCTGTGGTGGAAAAGGAAACTCTTCACATAAAAACTAGATGGAAGCATTCTCAGAAACTACTTTGTGATGATTGCATTCGACTCACAGAGTTGAACATTCCTATAGATAGAGCAGGTTGTAAACAATCTTTTTGTAGAATCTGCGATTGGAGATTTGGACTGCTTTGAGGCCTACTGTAGTAAAGGAAATAACTTCATCTAAAAACCAAACGGAAGCATTCACAGACAATTCTTAGTGATCATTGGATTGAACTAACAGAGCTGAACATTCCTTTAGATGGAGCAGTTTCCAAACACACTTTCTGTAGAATCTGCAAGTGGATATTTGGACTTCTCTGAGGATTTCGTTGGAAACGGGATAAACTTCCCAGAACTACACGGAAGCATTCTGAGAAACTTCTTTGTGATGTTTGCATTCAACTCACAGAGTTGAACCTTGCTTTCATAGTTCAGCTTTCAAACACTCTTTTTGTAGAATCTGCAAGTGGATATTTGGACCACTTTGTGGCCTTCCTTCGAAACGGGTATATCTTCACATCAAACCTAGACAGAAGCATTCTCAGAATGTTTCCTGTGATGACTGCATTCAACTCACAGAGGTGAACAATCCTGCTGATGGAGCAGTTTTGAAACTCTCTTTCTTTGGATTCTGCAAGTGGATATGTGGACCTCTGTGAAGATTTCATTGGAAACGGGTTCATCTTCACAGAAAAAATAAACAGAAGCATTCTCAGAAACTGCATTGTCATGTTTGTGTTCCACTTCAAGAATTGAACTTTCCTCTTGACAGAGCAGCTCTGAAACCCTCTTTTTCTAGAATCTGCAAGTGGACATTTGGAGGGCTTTGAGGCCTGTGGTGGAAAAGGAAAATCTTCACATAAAAACTAGATGGAAGCATTCTCAGAAACTACTTTGTGATGATTCCATTCGACTCACAGTGTTGAACATTCCTATAGATAGAGCAGGTTGTAAACAATCTTTTTGTAGAATCTGCGATTGGAGATTTTGACTGCTTTGAGGCCTACTCTAGTAAAGGAAATAACTTCATCTAAAAACAAAACGGAAGCATTCACAGACAATTCTTAGTGATCATTGGATTGAACTAAGAGTGCTGAACATTCCTTTAGATGACGCAGTTTCCAAACACACTTTCTGTAGAATCTGCAAGTGGATATTTGGACCTCTCTGAATATTTCGTTGGAAACGGGATAACATTCCCAGAACTACACGGAAGCATTCTGAGAAACTTCTTTGTGATGTTTGCATTCAAATCACAGAGTTGAACCTTGCTTTCATAATTCAGCTTTCAAACACTCTTTTTGTAGAATCTGGAACTTGATATTTGGACCACTTTGTTGCCTTCCTTCGAAACGGGTATATCTTCACATCAAACCCAGACAGAAGCATTCTCAGAATGTTTCCTGTGATGACTGCATTCAACTCACAGAGGTGAACAATCCTGCTGATGGAGCAGTTTTGAAACTCTCTTTCTTTGGATTCTGCAAGTGGATATGTGGACCTCTGTGAAGATTTCGTTGGAAACGGGTTCATCTTCACAGAAAAACTAAACAGAAGCATTCTCAGAAACTGCTTTGTGGTGTTAGTGTTCCACTTCAAGAATTGAACTTTCCTCTTGACAGAGCAGCTCTGAAACCCTCTTTTTCTAGAATCTGCAAGTGGAGATTTGGAGGGCTTTGAGGCCTGTGGTGGAAAAGGAAAATCTTCACATAAAAACTAGATGGAAGCATTCTCAGAAACTACTTTGTGATGATTGCATTCGACACACAGAGTTGAACATTCCTATAGATAGAGCAGGTTGTAAACAATCTTTTTGTAGAATCTGCGATTGGAGATTTGGACTGCTTTGAGGCCTACTGTAGTAAAGGAAATAATTTCATCTAAAAACCAAACGG
The DNA here is from genome assembly GCF_000001405.40 of Homo sapiens. Classification (NCBI taxonomy): domain Eukaryota; kingdom Metazoa; phylum Chordata; class Mammalia; order Primates; family Hominidae; genus Homo; species Homo sapiens. The sequence continues at coordinate 53,717,306 of NC_000011.10, forward strand.
AAGCATTCACAGACAATTCTTAGTGATCATTGGATTGAACTAACAGAGCTGAACATTCCTTTAGATGGAGCATTTTCCAAACACACTTTCTGTAGAATCTGCAAGTGGATATTTGGACTTCTCTGAGGATTTCGTTGGAAACGGGATAAACTTCCCAGAACTACATGGAAGCATTCTGAGAAACTTCTTTGTGATGTTTGCATTCAACTCACAGAGTTGAACCTTGCTTTCATAGTTCAGCTTTCAAACACTCTTTTTGTAGAATCTGCAAGTGGATATTTGGACCACTTTGTGGCCTTCCTTCGAAACGGGTATATCTTCACATCAAACCTAGACAGAAGCATTCTCAGAATGTTTCCTGTGATGACTTCATTCAACTCACAGAGGTGAACAATCCTGCTGATGGAGCAGTTTTGAAACTCTCTTTCTTTGGATTCTGCAAGTTGATATGTGGACCTCTGTGAAGATTTCGTTGGAAACGGGTTCATCTTCACAGAAAAACTAAACAGAAGCATTCTCAGAAACTGCTTTGTGTTGTTTGTGTTCCACTTCAAGAATTGAACTTTCCTCTTGACAGAGCAGCTCTGAAACCCTCTTTTTCTAGAATCTGCAAGTGGACATTTGGAGGGCTTTGAGGCCTGTGGTGGAAAAGGAAAAGCTTCACATAAAAACTAGATGGAAGCATTCTCAGAAACTACTTTGTTATGATTGCATTCGACTCACAGAGTTGAACATTCCTATAGATAGAGCAGGTTGTAAACAATCTTTTTGTAGAATCTGCGATTGGAGATTTGGACTGCTTTGAGGCCTACTGTAGTAAAGGAAATAACTTCATCTAAAAACCAAACGGAAGCATTCACAGACAATTCTTAGTGATCATTGGATTGAACTAACAGAGCTGAACATTCCCTTAGATGGCGCAGTTTCCAAACACACTTTCTGTAGAATCTGCAAGTGGATATTTGGACCTCTCTGAGGATTTCGTTGGAAACGGGATAAACTTCCCAGAACTACACGGAAGCATTCTGAGAAACTTCTTTGTGATGTTTGCATTCAACTCACAGAGTTGAACCTTGCTTTCATAGTTCAGCTTTCAAACCCTCTTTTTGTAGAATCTGCAAGTGGATATTTGGACCACTTTGTGGCCTTCCTTCGAAACGGGTATATCTTCACATCAAACCTAGACAGAAGCATTCTCAGAATGTTTCCTGTGATGACTGCATTCAACTCACAGAGGTGAACAATCCTGCTGATGGAGCAGTTTTGAAACTCTCTTTCTTTGGATTCTGCAAGTGGATATGTGGACCTCTGTGAAGATTTCGTTGGAAACGGGTTCATCTTCACAGAAAAACTAAACAGAAGCATTCTCAGAAACTGCTTTGTGATGTTTGTGTTCCACTTCAGGAATTGAACTTTCCTCTTGACAGAGCAGCTCTGAAACCCTCTTATTCTAGAATCTGCAAGTGGACATTTGGAGGGCTTTGAGGCCTGTGGTGGAAAAGGGAAATCTTCACATAAAAACTAGATGGAAGCATTCTCAGAAACTACTTTGTGATGATTGCATTCGACTCACAGAGTTGAACATTCCTATAGATAGAGCAGGTTGTAAACAATCTTTTTGTAGAATCTGCGATTGGAGATTTGGACTGCTTTGAGGCCTACTGTAGTAAAGGAAATAACTTCATCTAAAAACCAAACGGAAGCATTCACAGACAATTCTTAGTGATCATTGCATTCATCTAACAGAGCTGAACATTCCTTTAGATGGCGTAGTTTCCAAACACACTTTCTGTAGAATCTGCAAGTGCATATTTTGACCTCTCTGAGGATTTCGTTGGAAACGGGATAAACTTCCCAGAACTACACGGAAGCATGCTGAGAAACTTATTTGTGATGTTTGCATTCAACTCACAGAGTTGAACCTTGCTTTCATAGTTCAGCTTTCAAACACTCTTTTTGTAGAATCTGCAAGTGGATATTTGGACCACTTTGTGGCCTTCCTTCGAAACGGGTATATCTTCACATCAAACCTAGACAGAAGCATTCTCAGAATGTTTCCTGTGATGACTGCATTCAACTCACAGAGGTGAACAATCCTGCTGATGGAGCAGTTTTGAAACTCTCTTTCTTTGGATTCTGCAAGTGGATATGTGGACCTCTGTGAAGATTTCGTTGGAAACCTGTTCATCTTCACAGAAAAACTAAACAGGAGCATTCTCAGAAACTGCTTTGTGATGTTTGTGTTCCACTTCAAGAATTGAACTTTCCTCTTGACAGAGCAGCTCTGAAACCCTCTTTTTCTAGAATCTGCAAGTGGACATTTGGAGGGCTTTGAGGCCTGTGGTGGAAAAGGAAAATCTTCCCATAAAAACTAGATGGAAGCATTCTCAGAAACTACTTTGTGATGATTGCATTCGACTCACAGAGTTGAACATTCCTATAGATAGAGCAGGTTGTAAACAATCTTTTTGTAGAATCTGCGATTGGAGATTTGGACTGCTTTGAGGCCTACTGTAGTAAAGGAAATAACTTCATCTAAAAACCAAACGGAAGCATTCACAGACAATTCTTAGTGATCATTGCATTGAATTAACAGAGCTGAACATTCCTTTAGATGGCGCAGTTTCCAAACACACTTTCTGTAGAATCTGCAAGTGGATATTTGGACTTCTCTGAGGATTTCGTTGGAAACAGGATAAACTTCCCAGAACTACACGGAAGCATTCTGATAAACTTCTTTGTGATGTTTGCATTCAACTCACAGAGTTGAACCTTGCTTTCATAGTTCAGCTTTCAAACACTCTTTTTGTAGAATCTGCAAGTGGATATTTGGACCACTTTGTGGCCTTCCTTCGAAACGGGTATATCTTCACATCAAACCTAGACAGAAGCAGTCTCAGAATGTTTCCTGTGATGACTGCATTCAACTCACAGATGTGAACAATCCTGTTGATGGAGCAGTTTTGAAACTCTCTTTCTTTGGATTCTGCAAGTGGATATGTGGACCTCTGTGAAGATTTCGTTGGAAACAAGTTCATCTTCACAGAAAAACTAAACAGGAGCATTCTCAGAAACTGCTTTGTGATGTTTGTGTTCCACTTCAGGAATTGAACTTTCCTCTTGACAGAGCAGCTCTGAAACCCTCTTATTCTAGAATCTGCAAGTGGACATTTGGAGGGCTTTGAGGCCTGTGGTGGAAAAGGAAAATCTTCACATAAAAACTAGATGGAAGCATTCTCAGAAACTACTTTGTGATGATTGCATTCGACTCACAGAGTTGAACATTCCTATAGATAGAGCAGGTTGTAAACAATCTTTTTGTAGAATCTGCGATTGGAGATTTGGACTGCTTTGAGGCCTACTGTAGTAAAGGAAATAACTTCATCTAAAAAACAAACGGAAGCATTCACAGACAATTCTTAGTGATCATTGCATTGAACTAACAGAGCTGAACATTCCTTTAGATGGCGCAGTTTCCAAACACACTTTCTGTAGAATCTGCAAGTGGATATTTGGACCTCTCTGAGGATTTCGTTGGAAACGGGCTAAACTTCCCAGAACTACACGGAAGCATGCTGAGAAACTTCTTTGTGATGTTTGCATTCAACTCACAGAGTTGAACCTTGCTTTCATAGTTCAGCTTTCAAACACTCTTTTTGTAGAATCTGCAAGTGGATATTTGGACCACTTTGTGGCCTTCCTTCGAAACGGGTATATCTTCACATCAAACCTAGACAGAAGCATTCTCAGAATGTTTCCTGTGATGACTGCATTCAACTCACAGAGGTGAACAATCCTGCTGATGGAGCAGTTTTGAAACTCCCTTTCTTTGGATTCTGCAAGTTGATATGTGGACCTCTGTGAAGATTTCGTTGGAAACGGGTTCATCTTCACAGAAAAACTAAACAGAAGCATTCTCAGAAACTGCTTTGTGATGTTTGTGTTCCACTTCAGGAATTGAACTTTCCTCTTGACAGAGCAGCTCTAAAACCCTCTTATTCTAGAATCTGCAAGTGGACATTTGGAGGGCTTTGAGGCCTGTGGTGGAAAAGGAAAATCTTCACATAAAAACTAGATGGAAGCATTCTCAGAAACTACTTTGTGATGATTGCATTCGACTCACAGAGTTGAACATTCCTATAGATAGAGCAGGTTGTAAACAATGTTTTTGTAGAATCTGCGATTGGAGATTTGGACTGCTTTGAGGCCTACTGTAGTAAAGGAAATAACTTCATCTAAAAACCAAACGGAAGCATTCACAGACAATTCTTAGTGATCATTGCATTGAACTAACAGAGCTGAACATTCCTTTAGATGACGCAGTTTCCAAACACACTTTCTGTAGAATCTGCAAGTGGATATTTGGACCTCTCTGAGGATTTCGTTGGAAAAGGGATAAACTTCCCAGAACTACACGGAAGCATGCTGAGAAACTTCTTTGTGATGTTTGCATTCAACTCACAGAGTTGAACCTTGCTTTCATAGTTCAGCTTTCAAACACTCTTTTTGTAGAATCTGCAAGTGGATATTTGGACCACTTTGTGGCCTTCCTTCGAAACGGGTATATCTTCACATCAAACCTAGACAGAAGCATTCTCAGAATGTTTCCTGTGATGACTGCATTCAACTCACCGAGGTGAACAATCCTGCTGATGGAGCAGTTTTGAAACTCTCTTTCTTTGGATTCTACAAGTGGATATGTGGACCTCTGTGAAGATTTCGTTGGAAACGGGTTCATCTTCACAGAAAAACTAAACAGAAGCATTCTCCGAAACTGCTTTGTGATGTTTGTGTTCCACTTCAGGAATTGAACTTTCCTCTTGACAGAGCAGCTCTGAAACCCTCTTTTTCTAGAATCTGCAAGTGGACATTTGGAGGGCTTTGAGGCCTGTGGTGGAAAAGGAAAATCTTCACATAAAAACTAGATGGAAGCATTCTCAGAAACTACTTTGTGATGATTGCATTCGACTCACAGAGTTGAATATTCCTATAGATAGAGCAGGTTGTAAACAATCTTTTTGTAGAATGTGCGATTGGAGATTTGGACTGCTTTGAGGCCTACTGTAGTAAAGGAAATAACTTCATCTAAAAACCAAACGGAAGCATTCACAGACAATTCTTAGTGATCATTGGATTGAACTAACAGAGCTGAACATTCCTTTAGACGGAGCAGTTTCCAAACCCACTTTCTGTAGAATCTGCAAGTGGATATTTGGACCTCTCTGAGGATTTCGTTGGAAACGGGATAAACTTCCCAGAACTACACGGAAGCATTGTGAGAAACTTCTTTGTGATGTTTTCATTCAACTCACAGAGTTGAACCTTGCTTTCATAGTTCAGCTTTCAAACACTCTTTGTAGAATCTGCAAGTGGATATTTGGACCACTTTGTGGCCTTCCTTCGAAACGGGTATATCTTCACATCAAACCTAGACAGAAGCATTCTCAGAATGTTTCCTGTGATGACTGCATTCAACTCACAGAGGTGAACAATCCTGCTGATGGAGCAGTTTTGAAACTCTCTTTCTTTGGATTCTGCAAGTGGATATGTGGACCTCTGTGAAGATTTCGTTGGAAACGGGTTCATCTTCATAGAAAAACTAAACAGGAGCATTCTCAGAAACTGCTTCGTGATGTTTGTGTTCCACTTCAAGAATTGAACTTTCCTCTTGACAGAGTAGCTCTGAAACCCTCTTTTTCTAGAATCTGCAAGTGGACATTTGGAGGGCTTTGAGGCCTGTGGTGGAAAAGGAAAATCTTCACATAAAAACTAGATGGAAGCATTCTCAGAAACTACTTTGTGTTGATTGCATTCGACTCACAGAGTTGAACATTCCTATAGATAGAGCAGGTTGTAAACAATCTTTTTGTAGAATCTGCGATTGGAGATTTGGACTGCTTTGAGGCCTACTGTAGTAAAGGATATAACTTCATCTAAAAACCAAACGGAAGCATTCACAGACAATTCTTAGTGATCATTGCATTGAACTAACAGAGCTGAACATTCCTTTAGATGGAGCAGTTTCCAAACACACTTTCTGTAGAATCTGCAAGTGGATATTTGGACTTCTCTGAGGATTTCGTTGGAAACGGGATAAACTTCCCAGAACTACACGGAAGCATTGTGAGAAACTTCTCTGTGATGTTAGCATTCAACTCACAGAGTTGAACCTTGCTTTCATAGTTCAGCTTTCAAACACTCTTTTTGTGGAATCTGCAAGTGGATATTTGGACCACTTTGTGGCCTTCCTTCGAAACGGGTATATCTTCACATCAAACCTAGACAGAAGCATTCTCAGAATGTTTCCTGTGATGACTGCATTCAACTCACAGAGGTGAACAATCCTGTTGATGGAGCAGTTTTGAAACTCTCTTTCTTTGGATTCTGCAAGTTGATATGTGGACCTCTGTGAAGATTTCGTTGGAAACGGGTTCATCTTCACAGAAAAACTAAACAGAAGCATTCTCAGAAACTGCTTTGTGATTTTTGTGTTCCACTTCAGGAATTGAACTTTCCTCTTGACAGAGCAGCTCTGAAACCCTCTTATTCTAGAATCTGCAAGTGGACATTTGGAGGGCTTTGAGGCCTGTGGTGGAAAAGGAAAATCTTCACATAAAAACTAGATGGAAGCATTCTCAGAAACTACTTTGTGATGATTGCATTCGACTCACAGAGTTGAACATTCCTATACATAGAGCAGGTTGTAAACAATCTTTTTGTAGAATCTGCGATTGGAGATTTGGACTGCTTTGAGGCCTACTGTAGTAAAGGAAATAACTTCATCTAAAAACCAAACGGAAGCATTCACAGACAATTCTTAGTGATCATTGGATTGAACTAACAGAGCTGAACATTCCTTTAGATGGAGCAGATTCCAAACACACTTTCTGTAGAATCTGCAAGTGGATATTTGGACCTCTCTGAGGATTTCTTTGGAAACGGGATAAACTTCCCAGAACTACACGGTAAGCATTCTGAGAAACTTCTTTGTGATGTTTGCATTCAACTCACAGGATTTGCACCTTGCTTTCATAGTTCAGCTTTCAAACACTCTTTTTGTAGAATCTGCAAGTGGATATTTGGACCACTTTGTGGCCTTCCTTCGAAAAGGGTATATCTTCACATCAAACCTAGACAGAAGCATTCTCAGAATGTTTCCTGTGATGACTGCATTCAACTCACAGAGGTGAACAATCCTGTTGATGGAGCAGTTTTGAAACTCTCTTTCTTTGGATTCTGCAAGTGGATATGTGGACCTCTGTGAAGATTTCGTTGGAAACGGGTTCATCTTCACAGAAAAACTAAACAGAAGCATTCTCAGAAACTGCTTTGTGATGTTTGTGTTCCACTTCAAGAATTGAACTTTCCTCTTGACAGAGCAGCTCTGAAACCCTCTTTTTCTAGAATCTGCAAGTGGACATTTGGAGAGCTTTGAGGCCTGTGGTGGAAAAGGAAAATCTTCACATAAAAACTAGATGGAAGCATTCTCAGAAACTACTTTGTGATGATTGCATTCGACTCACAGAGTTGAACATTCCTATAGATAGAGCAGGTTGTAAACAATCTTTTTGTAGAATCTGCGATTGGAGATTTGGACTGCTTTGAGGCCTACTGTAGTAAAGGAAATAACTTCATCTAAAAACCAAACGGAAGCATTCACAGACAATTCTTAGTGATCATTGGATTGAACTAACAGAGCTGAACATTCCATTAGATGGAGCAGTTTCCAAACACACTTTCTGTAGAATCTGCAAGTGGATATTTGGACTTCTCTGAGGATTTCGTTGGAAACGGGATAAACTTCCCAGAACTACACGGAAGCATTCTGAGAAACTTCTTTGTGATGTTTGCATTCAACTCACAGAGTTGAACCTTGCTTTTATAGTTCAGCTTTCAAACACTCTTTTTGTAGAATCTGCAAGTGGATATTTGGACCACTTTGTGGCCTTCCTTCGAAACGGGTATATCTTCACATCAAACCTAGACAGAAGCATTCTCAGAATGTTTCCTGTGATGACTGCATTCAACTCACAGAGGTGAACAATCCTGCTGATGGAGCAGTTTTGAAACTCTCTTTCTTTGGATTCTGCAAGTGGATATGTGGACCTCTGTGAAGATTTCGTTGGAAACGGGTTCATCTTCACAGAAAAACTAAACAGAAGCATTCTCAGAAACTACTTTGTGATGTTTGTGTTCCACTTCAAGAATTGAACTTTCCTCTTGACAGAGCAGCTCTGAAACCCTCTTTTTCTAGAATCTGCAAGTGGACATTTGGAGGGCTTTGAGGCCTGTGGTGGAAAAGGAAAATCTTCACATAAAAACTAGATGGAAGCATTCTCAGAAACTACTTTGTGATGATTGCATTCGACTCACAGAGTTGAACATTCCTATAGATAGAGCAGGTTGTAAACAATCTTTTTGTAGAATCTGCGATTGGAGATTTGGACTGCTTTGAGGCCTACTGTAGTAAAGGAAATAACTTCATCTAAAAACCAAACGGAAGCATTCACAGACAATTCTTAGTGATCATTGGATTGAACTAACAGAGCTGAACATTCCTTTAGATGGAGCAGTTTCCAAACACACTTTCTGCAGAATCTGCAAGTGGATATTTGGACTTCTCTGAGGATTTCGTTGGAAACGGGATAAACTTCCCAGAACTACACGGAAGCATTGTGAGAATCATCTTTCTGATGTTTGCATTCAACTCACAGAGTTGAACCTTGCTTTCATAGTTCAGCTTTCAAACACTCTTTTTGTAGAATCTGCAAGTGGATATTTGGACCACTTTGTGGCCTTCCTTTGAAACGGGTACATCTTCACATCAAACCTAGACAGAAGCATTCTCAGAATGTTTCCTGTGATGACTGCATTCAACTCACAGAGGTGAACAATCCTGTTGATGGAGCACTTTTGAAACTCTCTTTCTTTGGATTCCGCAAGTGGATATGTGGACCTCTGTGAAGATTTCGTTGGAAACGGGTTCATCTTCACAGAAAAACTAAACAGAAGCATTCTCAGAAACTGCTTTGTGATGTTTGTGTTCCACTTCAGGAATTGAACTTTCCTCTTGACAGAGCAGCTCTGAAACCCTCTTATTCTAGAATCTGCAAGTGGACATTTGGAGGGCTTTGAGGCCTGTGGTGGAAAAGGAAAATCTTCACATAAAAACTAGATGGAAGCATTCTCAGAAACTACTTTGTGATGATTGCATTCGACTCACAGAGTTGAACATTCCTATAGATAGAGCAGGTTGTAAACAATCTTTTTGTAGAATCTGCGATTGGAGATTTGGACTGCTTTGAGGCCTACTGTAGTAAAGGAAATAACTTCATCTAAAAACCAAACGGAAGCATTCACAGACAATTCTTAGTGATCATTGCATTGAACTAACAGAGCTGAACATTCCTTTAGATGGCGCAGTTTCCAAACACACTTTCTGTAGAATCTGCAAGTGGATATTTGGACCTCTCTGAGGATTTCGTTGGAAACGGGATAAAATTCCCAGAACTACACGGAAGCATTGTGAGAAACATCTTTGTGATGTTTGCATTCAACTCACAGAGTTGAACCTTGCTTTCATAGTTCAGCTTTCAAACACTCTTTTTGTAGAATCTGCAAGTGGATATTTGGACCACTTTGTGGCCTTCCTTCGAAACGGGTATATCTTCACATCAAACCTAGACAGAAGCATTCTCAGAATGTTTCCTGTGATGACTGCATTCAACTCACAGAGGTGAACAATCCTGCTGATGGAGCAGTTTTGAAACTCTCTTTCTTTGGATTCTGCAAGTGGATATGTGGACCTCTGTGAAGATTTCGTTGGAAACGTGCTCATCTTCACAGAAAAACTAAACAGGAGCATTCTCAGAAACTGCTTTGTGATGTTTGTGTTCCACTTCAGGAATTGAACTTTCCTCTTGACAGAGCAGCTCTGAAACCCTCTTATTGTAGAATCTGCAAGTGGACATTTGGAGGGCTTTGAGGCCTGTGGTGGAAAACGAAAATCTTCACATAAAAACTAGATGGAAGCATTCTCAGAAACTACTTTGTGATGATTGCATTCGACTCACAGAGTTGAACATTTCTATAGATAGAGCAGGTTGTAAACAATCTTTTTGTAGAATCTGCGATTGGAGATTTGGACTGCTTTGAGGCCTACTGTAGTAAAGGAAATAACTTCATCTAAAAACCAAACGGAAGCATTCACAGACAATTCTTAGTGATCATTGGATTGAACTAACAGAGCTGAACATTCCTTTAGATGGCGCAGTTTCCAAACACACTTTCTGTAGAATCTGCAAGTGGATATTTGGACCTCTCTGAGGATTTCGTTGGAAACGGGATAAACTTCCCAGAACTACACGGAAGTATTGCGAGAAACTTCTTTGTGATGTTTGCATTCAACTCACAGAGTTGAACCTTGCTTTCATAGTTCAGCTTTCAAACACTCTTTTTGTAGAATCTGCAAGTGGATATTTGGACCACTTTCTGGCCTTCCTTCGAAACGGGTATATCTTCACATCAAACCTAGACAGAAGCATTCTCAGAATGTTTCCTGTGATGACTGCATTCAACTCACAGAGGTGAACAATCCTGTTGATGGAGCACTTTTGAAACTCTCTTTCTTTGGATTCTGCAAGTTCATATGTGGACCTCTGTGAAGATTTCGTTGGAAACGGGTTCATCTTCACAGAAAAACTAAACAGAAGCATTCTCAGAAACTGCTTTGTGATGTTTGTGTTCCACTTCAGGAACTGAACATTCCTCTTGACAGAGCAGCTCTGAAACCCTCTTTTTCTAGAATCTGCAAGTGGACATTTGGAGGGCTTTGAGGCCTGTGGTGGAAAAGGAAAATCTTCACATAAAAACTAGATGGAAGCATTCTCAGAAACTACTTTGTGATGATTGCATTCGACTCACAGAGTTGAACATTCCTATAGATAGAGCAGGTTGTAAACAATGTTTTTGTAGAATCTGCGATTGGAGATTTGGACTGCTTTGAGGCCTACTGTAGTAAAGGAAATAACTTCATCTAAAAACCAAACGGAAGCATTCACAGACAATTCTTAGTGATCATTGCATTGAACTAACAGAGCTGAACATTCCTTTAGATGGCGCAGTTTCCAAACACACTTTCTGTAGAATCTGCAAGTGGATATTTGGACTTCTCTGAGGATTTCGTTGGAAACGGGATAAACTTCCCAGAACTACACGGAAGCATTCTGAGAAACTTCTTTGTGATGTTTGCATTCAACTCAGAGAGTTGAACCTTGCTTTCATAGTTCAGCTTTCAAACACTCTTTTTGTAGAATCTGCAAGTGGATATTTGGACCACTTTGTGGCCTTCCTTCGAAACGGGTATATCTTCACATCAAACCTAGACAGAAGCATTCTCAGAATGTTTCCTGTGATGACTGCATTCAACTCACAGAGGTGAACAATCCTGTTGATGGAGCAGTTTTGAAACTCTCTTTCTTTGGATTCTGCAAGTGGATATGTGGACCTCTGTGAAGATTTCGTTGGAAACAGGTTCATCTTCACAGAAAAATTAACAGGAGCTTTCTCAGAAACTGCTTTGTGATGTTTGTGTTCCACTTCAAGAATTGAACTTTCCTCTTGACTGAGCAGCTCTGCAACCCTCTTTTTCTAGAATCTGCAAGTGGACATTTGGAGGGCTTTGAGGCCTGTGGTGGAAAAGGAAAATCTTCACATAAAAACTAGATGGAAGCATTCTCAGAAACTCCTTTGTGATGATTGCATTCAACTCACAGAGTTGAACATTCCTATAGATAGAGCAGGTTGTAAACAATCTTTTTGTAGAATCTGCGATTGGAGATTTGGACTGCTTTGAGGCCTACTGTAGTAAAGGAAATAACTTCATCTAAAAACCAAACGGAAGCATTCACAGACAATTCTTAGTGATCATTGGATTGAACTAACAGAGCTGAACATTCCTTTAGATGGAGCAGTTTCCAAACCCACTTTCTGTAGAATCTGCAAGTGGATATTTGGACCTCTCTGAGGATTTCGTTGGAAACGGGATAAACTTCCCAGAACTACACGGAAGCATTGTGAGAAACTTCTTTGTGATGTTTGCATTCAACTCACAGAGTTGAACCTTGCTTTCATAGTTCAGCTTTCAAACACTCTTTTTGTAGAATCTGCAAGTGGATATTTGGACCACTTTGTGGCCTTCCTTCGAAACGGGTATATCTTCACATCAAACCTAGACAGAAGCATTCTCAGAATGTTTCCTGTGATGACTGCATTCAACTCACAGAGGTGAACAATCCTGCTGTTGGAGCAGTTTTGAAACTCTCTTTCTTTGGATTCTGCAAGTGGATATGTGGACCTCTGTGAAGATTTCGTTGGAAACGGGTTCATCTTCACAGAAAAACTAAACAGGAGCATTCTCAGAAACTGCTTTGTGATGTTTTTGTTCCACTTCAGGAATTGAACTTTCCTCTTGACAGAGCAGCTCTGAAAACCTCTTATTCTAGAATCTGCAAGTGGATATTTGGAGGGCTTTGAGGCCTCTGGTGGAAAAGGAAAATCTTCACATAAAAACTAGATGGAAGCATTCTCAGAAACTACTTTGTGATGATTGCATTCGACTCACAGAGTTGAATATTCCTATAGATAGAGCAGGTTGTAAACAATCTTTTTGTAGAATCTGCGATTGGAGATTTGGACTGCTTTGAGGCCTACTGTAGTAAAGGAAATAACTTCATCTAAAAACCAAACGGAAGCATTCACAGACAATTCTTAGTGATCATTGGATTGAACTAACAGAGCTGAACATTCCTTTAGATGGAGCAGTTTCCAAACACACTTTCTGTAGAATCTGCAAGTGGATATTTGGACCTCTCTGAGGATTTCGTTGGAAACGGGATAAACTTCCCAGAACTACATGGAAGCATTCTGAGAAACTTCTTTGTGATGTTTGCATTCAACTCACAGAGTTGAACCTTGCTTTCATAGTTCAGCTTTCAAACACTCTTTTTGTAGGATCTGCAAGTGGATATTTGACAACTTTGTGGCCTTCCTTCGAAACGGGTATATCTTCACATCAAACCTAGACAGAAGCATTCTCAGAATGTTTCCTGTGATGACTGCATTCAACTCACAGAGGTGAACAATCCTGCTGATGGAGCAGTTTTGAAACTCTCTTTCTTTGGATTCTGCAAGTGGATATGTGGACCTCTGTGAAGATTTCGTTGGAAACGGGTTCATCTTCACAGAAAAACTAAAAAGGAGCATTCTCAGAAACTGCTTTGTGATGTTTGTGTTCCACTTCAAGAATTGAACTTTCCTCTTGACAGAGCAGCTCTGAAACCCTCTTTTTCTAGAATCTGCAAGTGGACATTTGGAGGGCTTTGAGGCCTGTGGTGGAAAAGGAAAATCTTCACATAAAAACTAGATGGAAGCATTCTCAGAAACTACTTTGTGATGATTGCATTCGACTCACAGAGTTGAACATTCCTATAGATAGAGCAGGTTGTAAACAATCTTTTTGTAGAATCTGCGATTGGAGATTTGGACTGCTTTGAGGCCTACTGTAGTAAAGGAAATAACTTCATCTAAAAACCAAACGGAGAGCATTCACAGACAATTCTTAGTGATCATTGGATTGAACTAACAGAGCTGAACATTCCTTTAGATGGAGCAGTTTCCAAACACACTTTCTGTAGAATCTGCAAGTGGATATTGGGACTTCTCTGAGGATTTCGTTGGAAACGGGATAAACTTCCCAGAACTACACGGAGCATTCTGAGAAACTTCTTTGTGATGTTTGCATTCAACTCACAGAGTTGAACCTTGCTTTCATAGTTCAGCTTTCAAACACTCTTTTTGTAGAATCTGCAAGTGGATATTTGGACCACTTTGTGGCCTTCCTTCGAAACGGGTATATCTTCACATCAAACCTAGACAGAAGCATTCTCAGAATGTTTCCTGTGATGACTGCATTCAACTCACAGAGGTGAACAATCCTGCTGATGGAGCAGTTTTGAAACTCTCTTTCTTTGGATTCTGCAAGTGGATATGTGGACCTCTGTGAAGATTTCGTTGGAAACGGGTTCATCTTCACAGAAAAACTAAACAGGAGCATTCTCAGAAACTGCTTTGTGATGTTTGTGTTCCACTTCAGGAATTGAACTTTCCTCTTGACAGAGCAGCTCTGAAACCCTCTTATTCTAGAATCTGCAAGTGGACATTTGGAGGGCTTTGAGGCCTGTGGTGGAAAAGGAAAATCTTCACATAAAAACTAGATGGAAGCATTCTCAGAAACTACTTTGTGATGATTGCATTCGACTCACAGAGTTGAACATTACTATAGATAGAGCAGGTTGTAAACAATGTTTTTGTAGAATCTGCGATTGGAGATTTGGACTGCTTTGAGGCCTACTGTAGTAAAGGAAATAACTTCATCTAAAAACCAAACGGAAGCATTCACAGACAATCCTTAGTGATCATTGCATTGAACTAACAGAGCTGAACATTCCTTTAGATGGCGCAGTTTCCAAACACACTTTCTGTAGAATCTGCAAGTGGATATTTGGACCTCTCTGAGGATTTCGTTGGAAACGGGATAAACTTCCCAGAACTACACGGAAGCATTGTGAGAAACTTCTTTGTGATGTTTGCATTCAACTCACAGAGTTGAACCTTGCTTTCATAGTTCAGCTTTCAAACACTCTTTTTGTAGGATCTGCAAGTGGATATTTGGACCACTTTGTGGCCTTCCTTCGAAACGGGTATATCTTCACATCAAACCTAGACAGAAGCATTCTCAGAATGTTTCCTGTGATGACTGCATTCAACTCACAGAGGTGAACAATCCTGCTGTTGGAGCAGTTTTGAAACTCTCTTTCTTTGGATTCTGCAAGTGGATATGTGGACCTCTGTGAAGATTTCGTTGGAAACGGGTTCATCTTCACAGAAAAACTAAACAGGAGCATTCTCAGAAACTGCTTTGTGATGTTTGTGTTCCACTTCAAGAATTGAACTTTCCTCTTGACAGAGCAGCTCTGAAACCCTCTTTTTCTAGAATCTGCAAGTGGACATTTGGAGGGCTTTGAGGCCTGTGGTGGAAAAGGAAAATCTTCACATAAAAACTAGATGGAAGCATTCTCAGAAACTACTTTGTGATGATTGCATTCGACTCACAGAGTTGAACATTCCTATAGATAGAGCAGGTTGTAAACAATCTTTTTCTAGAATCTGCGATTGGAGATTTGGACTGCTTTGAGGCCAACTGTAGTAAAGGAAATAACTACATCTAAAAACCAAACGGAAGCATTCACAGACAATTCTTAGTGATCATTGGATTGAACTAACAGAGCTGAACATTCCCTTAGAGGGCGCAGTTTCCAAACACACTTTCTGTAGAATCTGCAAGTGGATATTTGGACCTCTCTGAGGATTTCGTTGGAAACGGGATAAACTTCCCAGAACTACACGGAAGCATTCTGAGAAACTTCTTTGTGATGTTTGCATTCAACTCACAGAGTGGAAACTTGCTTTCATAGTTCAGCTTTCAAACACTCTTTTTGTAGAATCTGCAAGTGGATATTTGGACCACTTTGTGGCCTTCCTTCGAAACGGGTATATCTTCACATCAAACCTAGACAGAAGCATTCTCAGAATGTTTTCTGTGATGACTGCATTCAACTCACAGAGGTGAACAATCCTGCTGATGGACCAGTTTTGAAACTCTCTTTCTTTGTATTCTGCAAGTGGATATGTGGACCTCTGTGAACATTTCGTTGGAAACGGGTTCATCTTCACAGAAAAACTAAGCAGGAGCATTCTCAGAAACTGCTTTGTGATGTTTGTGTTCCACTTCAGGAATTGAACTTTCCTCTTGACAGAGCAGCTCTGAAACCCTCTTATTCTAGAATCTGCAAGTGGACATTTGGAGGGCTTTGAGGCCTGTGGTGGAAAAGGAAAATCTTCACATAAAAACTAGATGGAAGCATTCTCAGAAACTACTTTGTGATGATTGCATTCGACTCACAGAGTTGAACATTCCTATAGATAGAGCAGGTTGTAAACAATCTTTTTGTAGAATCTGCGATTGGAGATTTGGACTGCTTTGAGGCCTACTGTAGTAAAGGAAATAACTTCATCTAAAAACCAAACGGAAGCATTCACAGACAATTCTTAGTGATCATTGCATTGAACTAACAGAGCTGAACATTCCCTTAGATGGCGCAGTTTCCAAACACACTTTCTGTAGAATCTGCAAGTGGATATTTGGACCTCTCTGAGGATTTCGTTGGAAACGGGATAAAATTCCCAGAACTACACGGAAAGCATGCTGAGAAACTTCTTTGTGATGTTTGCATTCAACTCACAGAGTTGAAACTTGCTTTCATAGTTCAGCTTTCAAACACTCTTTTTGTAGAATCTGCAAGTGGATATTTGGACCACTTTGTGGCCTTCCTTCGAAACGGGTATATCTTCACATCAAACCTAGACAGAAGCATTCTCAGAATGTTTACTGTGATAACTGCATTCAACTCACAGAGGTGAACAATCCTGTTGATGGAGCAGTTTTGAAACTCCCTTTCTTTGGATTCTGCAAGTGGATATGTGGAACTCTGTGAAGATTTCGTTGGAAACGGGTTCATCTTCACAGAAAAACTAAACAGGAGCATTCTCAGAAACTGCTTTGTGATGTTTGTGTTCCACTTGAAGAATTGAACTTTCCTCTTGATAGAGCAGCTCTGAAACCCTCTTTTTCTAGAATCTGCAAGTGGACATTTGGAGGGCTTTGAGGCCTGTGGTGGAAAAGGAAAATCTTCACATAAAAACTAGATGGAAGCATTCTCAGAAACCACTTTGTGATGATTGCATTCGACTCACAGAGTTGAACATTCCTATAGATAGAGCAGGTTGTAAACAATCTTTTTGTAGAATCTGCGATTGGAGATTTGGAGTGCTTTGGGGCCTACTGTAGTAAAGGAAAAAACTTCATCTAAAAACCAAACGGAAGCATTCACAGACAATTCTTAGTGATCATTGGATTGAACTAACAGAGCTGAACATTCCTTTAGATGGAGCAGTTTCCAAACACACTTTCTGTAGAATCTGCAAGTGGATATTTGGACTTCTCTGAGAATTTCGTTGGAAACGGGATAAACTTCGCAGAACTACAGGGAAAGCATTCTGAGAAACTTCTTTGTGATGTTTGCATTCAACTCACAGAGTTGAACCTTGTTTTCATAGTTCAGCTTTCAAACACTCTTTTTGTAGAATCTGCAAGTGGATATTTGGACCACTTTGTGGCCTTCTTTCGAAACGGGTATATCTTCACATCAAACCTAGACAGAAGCATTCTCAGAATGTTTCCTGTGATGACTGCATTCAACTCACAGAGGTGAACAATCCTGTTGATGGAGCACTTTTCAAACTCTCTTTCTTTGGATTCCGCAAGTTGATATGTGGACCTCTGTGAAGATTTCGTTGGAAACGGGTTCATCTTCACAGAAAAACTAAACAGAAGTATTCTCAGAAACTGCTTTGTGATGTTTGTGTTCCACTTCAGTAATTGAACTTTCCTCTTGACAGAGCAGCTCTGAAACGCTCTTATTCTAGAATATGCAAGTGGACATTTGGAGGGCTTTGAGGCCTGTGGTGGAAAAGGAAAATCTTCACATAAAAACTAGATGGAAGCATTCTCAGAAACTACTTTGTGATGATTGCATTCGACTCACAGAGTTGAACATTCCTATAGATAGAGCAGGTTGTAAACAATCTTTTTGTAGAATCTGCGATTGGAGATTTGGACTGCTTTGAGGCCTACTGTAGTAAAGGAAATAACTTCATCTAAAAACCAAACGGAAGCATTTACAGACAATTCTTAGTGATCATTGGATTGAACTAACAGAGCGGAACATTCCTTTAGATGGAGCAGTTTCCAAACACACTTTCTGTAGAATCTGCAAGTGGATATTTGGACTTCTCTGAGGATTTCGTTGGAAACGGGATAAACTTCCCAGAACTACACAGAAGCATTCTGAGAAACTTCTTTGTGATGTTTGCATTCAACTCACAGAGTTGAACCTTGCTTTCATAGTTCAGCTTTCAAACACTCTTTTTGTAGAATCTACAGAAAGTGGATATTTGGACCACTTTGTGGCCTTCCTTCGAAACGGGTATATCTTCACATCAAACCTAGACAGAAGCATTCTCAGAATGTTTCCTGTGATGACTGCATTCAACTCACAGAGGTGAACAATCCTGCTGATGGAGCAGTTTTGAAACTCTCTTTCTTTGGATTCTGCAAGTGGATATGTGGACCTCTGTGAAGATTTCGTTGGAAACGGGTTCATCTTCACAGAAAATCTAAACAGGAGCATTCTCAGAAACTGCTTTGTGATGTTTTTGTTCCACTTCAGGGAATTGAACTTTCCTCTTGACAGAGCAGCTCTGAAACCCTCTTTTTCTAGAATCTGCAAGTGGACATTTGGAGGGCTTTGAGGCCTGTGGTGGAAAAGGAAAACCTTCACATAAAAACTAGATGGAAGCATTCTCAGAAACTACTTTGTGATGATTGCATTCGACTCACAGAGTTGAACATTCCTATAGATAGAGCAGGTTGTAAACAATCTTTTTGTAGAATCTGCGATTGGAGATTTGGACTGCTTTGAGGCCTACTGTAGTAAAGGAAATAACTTCATCTAAAAACCAAACGGAAGCATTCACAGACAATTCTTAGTGATCATTGGATTGAACTAACAGAGCTGAACATTCCTTTAGATGGAGCAGTTTCCAAACACACTTTCTCTAGAATCTGCAAGTGGATATTTGGACTTCTCTGAGGATTTCGTTGGAAACGGGATAAAATTCCCAGAACTACACGGAAGCATTGTGAGAAACTTCTTTGTGATGTTTGCATTCAACTCACAGAGTTGAAGCTTGCTTTCATAGTTCAGCTTTCAAACACTCTTTTTGTAGAATCTGCAAGTGGATATTTGGACCACTTTGTGGCCTTCCTTCGAAACGGGTATATCTTCACATCAAACCTAGACAGAAGCATTCTCAGAATGTTTCCTGTGATGACTGCATTCAACTCACAAAGGTGAACAATCCTGCTGATGGAGCAGTTTTGAAACTCTCTTTCTTTGGATTCTGCAAGTGGATATGTGGACCTCTGTGAAGATTTCGTTGGAAACGGGTTCATCTTCACAGAAAAAGTAAACAGGAGCATTCTCAGAAACTGCTTTGTGATGTTTGTGTTCCACTTCAGGAATTGAACATTCCTCTTGACAGAGCAGCTCTGAAACCCTCTTTTTCTAGAATCTGCAAGTGGACATTTGGAGGGCTTTGAGGCCTGTGGTGGAAAAGGAAAATCTTCACATAAAAACTAGATGGAAGCATTCTCAGAAACTACTTTGTGATGATTGCATTCGACTCACAGAGTTGAACATTCCTATAGATAGAGCAGGTTGTAAACAATCTTTTTGTAGAATCTGCGATTGGAGATTTGGACTGCTTTGAGGCCTACTGTAGTAAAGGAAATAACTTCATCTGAAAACCAAACGGAAGCATTCACAGACAATTCTTAGTGATCATTGCATTGAACTAACAGAGCTGAACATTCCTTTAGATGGAGCAGTTTCCAAACACACTTTCTGTAGAATCTGCAAGTGGATATTTGGACTTCTCTGAGGATTTCGTTGGAAACGGTATAAACTTCCCAGAACTACACGGAAGCATTGTGAGAAACTTCTTTGTGATGTTTGCATTCAACTCACAGAGTTGAACCTTGCTTTCATAGTTCAGCTTTCAAACACTCTTTTTGTAGAATCTGCAAGTGGATATTTGGACCACTTTGTGGCCTTCCTTCGAAACGGGTATATCTTCACATCAAACCTAGACAGAAGCATTCTCAGAATGTTTCCTGTGATGACTGCATTCAACTCACAGAGGTGAACAATCCTGCTGATGGAGCAGTTTTAAAACTCTCTTTCTTTGGATTCTGCAAGTGGATATGTGGACCTCTGTGAAGATTTCGTTGGAAACGGGTTCATCTTCACAGAAAAACTAAACAGAAGCATTCTCAGAAACTGCTTTGTGATGTTTGTGTTCCACTTCAAGAATTGAACTTTCCTCTTGACAGAGCAGCTCTGAAACCCTCTTTTTCTAGAATCTGCAAGTGGACATTTGGAGGGCTTTGAGGCCTGTGGTGGAAAAGGAAAATATTCACATAAAAACTAGATGGAAGCATTCTCAGAAACTACTTTGTGATGATTGCATTCGACTCACAGAGGTGAACATTCCTATAGATAGAGCAGGTTGTAAACAATCTTTTTGTAGAATCTGCGATTGGAGATTTGGACTGCTTTGAGGCCTACTGTAGTAAAGGAAATAACTTCATCTAAAAACCAAACGGAAGCATTCACTGACAATGCTTAGTGATCATTGGATTGAACTAACAGAGCTGAACATTCCTTTAGATGGAGCAGTTTCCAAACCCACTTTCTGTAGAATATGCAAGTGGATATTTGGACCTCTCTGAGGATTTCGTTGGAAACGGGATATGCTTCCCAGAACTACACGGAAGCATTGTGAGAAACTTCTTTGTGATGTTTGCATTCAACTCACAGAGTTGAACCTTGCTTTCATAGTTCAGCTTTCAAACACTCTTTTTGTAGAAGCTGCAAGTGGATATTTGGACCACTTTGTGGCCTTCCTTCGAAACGGGTATATCTTCACATCAAACCTAGACAGAAGCATTCTCAGAATGTTTCCTGTGATGACTGCATTCAACTCACAGAGGTGAACAATCCTGCTGTTGGAGCAGTTTTGAAACTCTCTTTCTTTGGATTCTGCAAGTGGATATGTGGACCTCTGTGAAGATTTCGTTGGAAACGGGTTCATCTTCACAGAAAAACTAAACAGAAGCATTCTCAGAAACTGCTTTGTGATGTTTGTGTTCCACTTCAAGAATTGAACTTTCCTCTTGACAGAGCAGCTCTGAAACCCTCTTTTTCTAGAATCTGCAAGTGGACATTTGGAGGGCTTTGAGGCCTGTGGTGGAAAAGGAAAATCTTCACATAAAAACTAGATGGAAGCATTCTCAGAAACTCCTTTGTGATGATTGCATTCGACTCACAGAGTTGAACATTCCTATAGATAGAGCAGGTTGTAAACAATCTTTTTGTAGAATCTGCGATTGGAGATTTGGACTGCTTTGAGGCCTACTGTAGTAAAGGAAATAACTTCATCTAAAAACCAAACGGAAGCATTCACAGACAATTCTTAGTAATCATTGCATTGAACTAACAGAGCTGAACATTCCTTTAGATGGCGCAGTTTCCAAACACACTTTCTGTAGAATCTGCAAGTGGATATTTGGACCTCTCTGAGGATTTCCTTGGAAACGGGATAAACTTCCCAGAACTACACGGAAGCATTCTGAGAAACTTCTTTGTGATGTTTGCATTCAACTCACAGAGTTGAACCTTGCTTTCATAGTTCAGCTTTCAAACACTCTTTTTGTAGAATCTGCAAGTGGATATTTGGACCACTTTGTGGCCTTCCTTCGAAACGGGTATATCTTCACATCAAACCTAGACAGAAGCATTCTCAGAATGTTTCCTGTGATGACTGCATTCAACTCACAGAGGTGAACAATCCTGCTGATGGAGCAGTTTTGAAACTCTCTTTCTTTGGATTCTGCAAGTGGATATGTGGACGTCTGTGAAGATTTCGTTGGAAACGGGTTCATCTTCACAGAAAAACTAAACAGGAGCATTCTCAGAAACTACTTTGTGATGTTTGTGTTCCACTTCAAGAATTGAACTTTCCTCTTGACAGAGCAGCTCTGAAACCCTCTTTTTCTAGAATCTGCAAGTGGACATTTGGAGGGCTTTGAGGCCTGTGGTGGAAAAGGAAAATCTTCACATAAAAACTAGATGGAATCATTCTCAGAAACTACTTTGTGATGATTGCATTCGACTCACAGAGTTGAACATTCCTATAGATAGAGCAGGTTGTAAACAATCTTTTTGTAGAATCTGCGATTGGAGATTTGGACTGCTTTGAGGCCTACTGTAGTAAAGGAAATAACTTCATTTAAAAACCAAACGGAAGCATTCACAGACAATTCTTAGTGATCATTGGATTGAACTAACAGAGCTGAACATTCCTTTAGATGGAGCAGTTTCCAAACCCACTTTCTGTAGAATCTGCAAGTGGATATTTGGACTTCTCTGAGGATTTCGTTGGAAACGGGATAAACTTCCCAGAACTACACGGAAGCATTGTGAGAAACTTCTTTGTGATGTTTGCATTCAACTCACAGAGTTGAACCTTGCTTTCATAGTTCAGCTTTCAAACACTCTTTTTGTAGAATCTGCAAGTGGATATTTGGACCACTTTGTGGCCTTCCTTCGAAACGGGTATATCTTCACATCAAACCTAGACAGAAGCATTCTCAGAATGTTTCCTGTGATGACTGCATTCAACTCACAGAGGTGAACAATCCTGCTGATGGAGCAGTTTTGAAACTCTCTTTCTTTGGATTCTGCAAGTGGATATGTGGACCTCTGTGAAGATTTCGTTGGAAACGGGTTCATCTTCACAGAAAAACTAAACAGAAGCATTCTCAGAAACTGCTTTGTGATGTTTGTGTTCCACTTAAAGAATTGAACTTTCCTCTTGACAGAGCAGCTCTGAAACCCTCTTTTTCTAGAATCTGCAAGTGGACATTTGGAAGGCTTTGAGGCCTGTGGTGGAAAAGGAAAATCTTCACATAAAAACTTTATGGAAGCATTCTCAGAAACTACTTTGTGATGATTGCATTCGACTCACAGAGTTGAACATTCCTATAGATAGAGCAGGTTGTAAACAATCTTTTTGTAGAATCTGCGATTGGAGATTTGGACTGCTTTGAGGCCTATTGTAGTAAAGGAAATAACTTCATCTAAAAACCAAACGGAAGCATTCACAGACAATTCTTAGTGATCATTGGATTGAACTAACAGAGCTGAACATTCCTTTAGATGGAGCAGTTTCCAAACACACTTTCTGTAGAATCTGCAAGTGGATATTTGGACTTCTCTGAGGATTTCGTTGGAAACGGGATAAACTTCCCAGAACTACAGGGAAGCATTGTGAGAAACTTCTTTGTGATGTTTGCATTCAACTCACAGAGTTGAACATTGCTTTCATAGTTCAGCTTTCAAACACTCTTTTTGTAGAATCTGCAAGTGGATATTTGGACCACTTTGTGGCCTTCCTTCGAAACGGGTATATCTTCACATCAAACCTAGACAGAAGCATTCTCAGAATGTTTCCTGTGATGACTGCATTCAACTCACAGAGGTGAACAATCCTGTTGATGGAGCAGTTTTGAAAGTCTCTTTCTTTGGATTCTGCAAGTGGATATGTGGACCTCTGTGAAGATTTCGTTGGAAACGGGTTCATCTTCACAGAAAAACTAAACAGAAGCATTCTCAGAAACTGCTTTGTGATGTTTGTGTTCCACTTCAGGAATTGAACTTTCCTCTTGACAGAGCAGCTCTGAAACCCTCTTTTTCTAGAATCTGCAAGTGGACATTTGGAGGGCTTTGAGGCCTGTGGTGGAAAAGGAAAATCTTCACTTAAAAACTAGATGGAAGCATTCTCAGAAACTACTTTGTGATGATTGCATTCGACTCACAGAGTTGAACATTCCTATAGATAGAGCAGGTTGTAAACAATCTTTTTGTAGAATCTGCGATTGGAGATTTGGACTGCTTTGAGGCCTACTGTAGTAAAGGAAATAACTTCATCTAAAAACCAAACGGAAGCATTCACAGACAATTCTTAGTGATCATTGCATTGAACTAACAGAGCTGAACATTCCTTTAGATGGCGCAGTTTCCAAACACACTTTCTGTAGAATCTGCAAGTGGATATTTGGACTTCTCTGAGGATTTCGTTGGAAACGGGATAAACTTCCCAGAACTACACGGAAGCATTGTGAGAAACTTCTTTGTGATGTTTGCATTCAACTCACAGAGTTGAACCTTGCTTTCATAGTTCAGCTTTCAAACACTCTTTTTGTAGAATCTGCAAGTGGATATTTGGACCACTTTGTGGCCTTCCTTTGAAAAGGGTATATCTTCACATCAAACCTAGACAGAAGCATTCTCAGAATGTTTCCTGTGATGACTGCATTCAACTCACAGAGGTGAACAATCCTGCTGATGGAGCAGTTTTGAAACTCTCTTTCTTTGGATTCTGCAAGTGGATATGTGGACCTCTGTGAAGATTTCGTTGGAAACGGGTTCATCTTCACAGAAAAACTAAACAGGAGCATTCTCAGAAACTGCTTTGTGATGTTTCTGTTCCACTTCAAGAATTGAACTTTCCTCTTGACAGAGCAGCTCTGAAACCCTCTTTTTCTAGAATCTGCAAGTGGACATTTGGAGGGCTTTGAGGCCTGTGGTGGAAAAGGAAAATCTTCACATAAAAACTAGATGGAAGCATTCTCAGAAACTACTTTGTGATGATTGCATTCGACTCACAGAGTTGAACATTCCTATATATAGAGCAGGTTGTAAACAATCTTTTTGTAGAATCTGCGATTGGAGATTTGGACTGCTTTGAGGCCTACTGTAGTTAAGGAAATAACTTCATCTAAAAACCAAACGGAAGCATTCACAGACAATTCTTAGTGATCATTGCATTGAACTAACAGAGCTGAACATTCCTTTAGATGGCGCAGTTTCCAAACACACTTTCTGTAGAATCTGCAAGTGGATATTTGGACCTCTCTGAGGATTTCGTTGGAAACGGGATAAACTTCCCAGAACTACACGGAAGCAGTATTCTGAGAAACTTCTTTGTGATGTTTGCATTCAACTCACAGAGTTGGACCTTGCTTTCATAGTTCAGCTTTCAAACACTCTTTTTGTAGAATCTGCAAGTGGATATTTGGACCACTTTGTGGCCTTCCTTCGAAACGGGTATATCTTCACATCAAACCTAGACAGAAACATTCTCAGAATGTTTCCTGTGATGACTGCATTCAACTCACAGAGTTGAACAATCCTGCTGATGGAGCAGTTTTGAAACGCTCTTTCTTTGGATTCTGCAAGTGGATATGTGGACCTCTTTGAAGATTTCCTTGGAAACGGGTTCATCTTCACATAAAAAGTAAACAGAAGCATTCTCAGAAACTGCTTTGTGATGTTTGTGTTCCAGTTCAAGAATTGAAATTTCCTCTTGACAGAGCAGCTCTGAAACCCTCTTTTTCTAGAATCTGCAAGTGGATATTTGGAGGGCTTGGAGGCCTTCAGTGGAAAAGGAAATATCTTCACATAAAACCTAGATAGAAGCATTCTCAGAAACTACTTTGTGATGATTGCATTCGGCTCACAGAGTTGAACATTCCTATAGATAGAGCAGGTTGTAAACAATCTTTTTGTAGAATCTGCGATTGGAGATTTGGACTGCTTTGAGGCCTACTGTAGTAAAGGAAATAACTTCATCTAAAAACCAAACGGAAGCATTCACAGACAATACTTAGTGATCATTGGATTGAACTAACAGAGCTGAACATTCCTTTAGATGGAGCAGTTTCCAAACCCACTTTCTGTAGAATCTGCAAGTGGATATTTGGACTTCTCTGAGGATTTCGTTGGAAACGGGATAAACTTCCCAGAACTACACGGAAGTATTCTGAGAAACTTCTTTGTGATGTTTGCATTCAACTCACAGAGTTGAACCTTGCTTTCATAGTTCAGCTTTCAAACACTCTTTTTGTAGAATCTGCAAGTGGATATTTGGACCACTTTGTGGCCTTCCTTCGAAACGGGTATATCTTCACATCAAACCTAGACAGAAGCATTCTCAGAATGTTTCCTGTGATGACTGCATTCAACTCACAGAGGTGAACAATCCTGCTGATGGAGCAGTTTTGAAACTCTCTTTCTTTGGATTCTGCAAGTGGATATGTGGACCTCTGTGAAGATTTCGTTGGAAACGGGTTCATCTTCACAGAAAAACTAAACAGAAGCATTCTCAGAAACTGCTTTGTGATGTTTGTGTTCCACTTCAAGAATTGAACTTTCCTCTTGACAGAGCAGCTCTGAAACCCTCTTTTTCTAGAATCTGCAAGTGGACATTTGGAGGGTTTTGAGGTCTGCGGTGGAAAAGGAAAATCTTCACATAAAAACTAGATGGAAGCATTCTCAGCAAACTACTTTGTGATGATTGCATTCGACTCACAGCAGTTGAACATTCCTATAGATAGAGCAGGTTGTAAACAATGTTTTTGTAGAATCTGCGATTGGAGATTTGGATTGCTTTGAGGCCTACTGTAGTAAAGGAAATAACTTCATCTAAAAACCAAACGGAAGCATTCACAGACAATTCTTAGTGATCTATTGGATTGAACTAACAGAGCTGAACATTCCTTTAGATGGAGCAGTTTCCAAACACACTTTCTGTAGAATCTGCAAGTGGATATTTGGACTTCTCTGAGGATTTCGTTGGAAACGGGATAAACTTCCCAGAACTACACGGAAGCATTCTGAGAAACTTCTTTGTGATGTTTGCATTCAACTCACAGAGTTGAACCTTGCTTTCATAGTTAAGCTTTCAAACACTCTTTTTGTAGAATCTGCAAGTGGATATTTGGACCACTTTGTGGTCTTCCTTCGAAACGGGTATATCTTCACATCAAACCTAGACAGAAGCATTCTCAGAATGTTTCCTGTGATGACTGCATTCAACTCACAGAGGTGAACAATCCTGCTGATGGAGCAGTTTTGAAACTCTCTTTCTTTGGATTCTGCAAGTGGATATGTGGACCTCTGTGAAGATTTCGTTGGAAACGGGTTCATCTTCACAAAAAAACTAAACAGGAGCATTCTCAGAAACTGCTTTGTGATGTTTGTGTTCCACTTCAAGAATTGAACTTTCCTCTTGACAGAGCAGCTCTGAAACCCTCTTTTTCTAGAATCTGCAAGTGGACATTTGGAGGGCTTTGAGGCCTGTGGTGGAAAAGGAAAATCTTCACATAAAAACTAGATGGAAGCATTCTCAGAAACTACTTTGTGATGATTGCATTCGACTCACAGAGTTGAATATTCCTATACATAGAGCAGGTTGTAAACAATCTTTTTGTAGAATGTGCGATTGGAGATTTGGACTGCTTTGAGGCCTATTGTAGTAAAGGAAATAACTTCATCTAAAAACCAAACGGAAGCATTCACAGACAATTCTTAGTGATCATTGGATTGAACTAACAGAGCTGAACATTCCTTTAGATGGAGCAGTTTCCAAACCCACTTTCTGTAGAATCTGCAAGTGGATATTTGGACTTCTCTGAGGATTTCGTTGGAAACGGGATAAACTTCCCAGAACTACATGGAAGCATTCTGAGAAACTTCTTTGTGATGTTTGCATTCAACTCACAGAGTTGAACCTTGCTTTCATAGTTCAGCTTTCAAACACTCTTTTTGTAGAATCTGCAAGTGGATATTTGGACCACTTTGTGGCCTTCCTTCGAAACGGGTATATCTTCACATCAACCCTAGACAGAAGCATTCTCAGAATGTTTCCTGTGATGACTGCATTCAACTCACAGAGGTGAACAATCCTGCTGATGGAGCAGTTTTGAAACTCTCTTTCTTTGGATTCTGCAAGTGGATATGTGGACCTCTGTGAAGATTTCTTTGGAAACGGGTTCATCTTCACAGAAAAATTAAACAGGAGCATTCTCAGAAACTGCTTTGTGATGTTTGTGTTCCACTTCAAGAATTGAACTTTCCTCTTGACAGAGCAGCTCTGAAACCCTCTTTTTCTAGAATCTGCAAGTGGGCATTTGGAGGGCTTTGAGGCTTGTGGTGGAAAAGGAAAATCTTCACATAAAAACTAGATGGAAGCATTCTCAGAAACTACTTTGTGATGATTGCATTCGACTCACAGAGTTGAACATTCCTTTAGATAGAGCAGGTTGTAAACAATCTTTTTGTAGAATCTGCGATTGGAGATTTGGACTGCTTTGAGGCCTACTGTAGTAAAGGAAATAACTTCATCTAAAAACCAAACGGAAGCATTCACAGACAATTCTTGGTGATCATTGGATTGAACTAACAGAGCTGAACATTCCTTTAGATGGAGCAGTTTCCAAACACACTTTCTGTAGAATCTGCAAGTGGATATTTGGACTTCTCTGAGGATTTCGTTGGAAACGGGATAAACTTCCCAGAACTACACGGAAGCATTGGGAGAAACTTCTTTGTGATGTTTGCATTCAACTCACAGAGTTGAACCTTGCTTTCATAGTTCAGCTTTCAAACACTCTTTTTGTAGAATCTGCAAGTGGATATTTGGACCACTTTGTGGCCTTCCTTCGAAACGGGTATATCTTCACATCAAACCTAGACAGAAGCATTCTCAGAATGTTTCCTGTGATGACTGCATTCAACTCACAGAGGTGAACAATCCTGCTGATGGAGCAGTTTTGAAACTCTCTTTCTTTGGATTCTGCAAGTGGATATGTGGACCTCTGTGAAGATTTCGTTGGAAACGGGTTCATCTTCACAGAAAAACTAAACAGAAGCATTCTCAGAAACTGCTTTGTGATGTTTGTGTTCCACTTCAGGAATTGAACTTTCCTCTTGACAGAGCAGCTCTGAAACCCTCTTATTCTAGAATCTGCAAGTGGACATTTGGAGGGCTTTGAGGCCTGTGGTGGAAAAGGAAAATCTTCACATAAAAACTAGATGGAAGCATTCTCAGAAACTACTTTGTGATGATTGCATTCGACTCACAGAGTTGAACATTCCTATAGATAGAGCAGGTTGTAAACAATCTTTTTGTAGAATCTGCGATTGGAGATTTGGACTGCATTGAGGCCTACTGTAGTAACGGAAATAACTTCATCTAAAAACCAAACGGAAGCATTCACAGACAATTCTTAGTGATCATTGCATTGAACTAACAGAGCTGAACATTCCTTTAGATGGCGCAGTTTCCAAACACACTTTCTGTAGAATCTGCAAGTGGATATTTGGACCTCTCTGAGGATTTCGTTGGAAACGGGATAAACTTCCCAGAACTACACGGAAGCATTCTGAGAAACTTCTTTGGATGTTTGCATTCAACTCACAGAGTTGAACCTTGCTTTCATAGTTCAGCTTTCAAACACTCTTTTTGTAGAATCTGCAAGTGGATACTTGGACCACTTTGTGGCCTTCCTTCGAAACGGGTATATCTTCACATCAAACCTAGACAGAAGCATTCTCAGAATGTTTCCTGTGATGACTGCATTCAACTCACAGAGGTGAACAATCCTGCTGATGGAGCAGTTTTGAAACTCTCTTTCTTTGGATTCTGCAAGTGGATATGTGGACCTCTGTGAAGATTTCGTTGGAAACGGGTTCATCTTCACAGAAAAACTAAACAGAAGCATTCTCAGAAACTGCTGTGTGATGTTTGTGTTCGACTTCAGGAATTGAACTTTCCTCTTGACAGAGCAGCTCTGAAACCCTCTTTTTCTAGAATCTGCAAGTGGACATTTGGAGGGCTTTGAGGCCTGTGGTGGAAAAGGAAAATCCTCACATAAAAACTAGATGGAAGCATTCTCAGAAACTACTTTGTGATGATTGCATTCGACTCACAGAGTTGAACATTCCTATAGATAGAGCAGGTTGTAAACAATCTTTTTGTAGAATCTGCGATTGGAAATTTGGACTGCTTTGAGGCCTACTGTAGTAAAGGAAATAACTTCATCTAAAAACCAAACGGAAGCATTCACAGACAATTCTTAGTGATCATTGGATTGAACTAACAGAGCTGAACACTCCTTTAGATGGCGCTGTTTCCAAACACACTTTCTGTAGAATCTGCAAGTGGATATTTGGACTTCTCTGAGGATTTCGTTGGAAACGGGATAAACTTCCCAGAACTACACGGAAAGCATTCTGAGAAACTTCTTTGTGATGTTTGCTTTCAACTCAGAGAGTTGAACCTTGCTTTCATAGTTCAGCTTTCAAACCCTCTTTTTGTAGAATCTGCAAGTGGATATTTGGACCACTTTGTGGCCTTCCTTCGAAACGGGTATATCTTCACATCAAATCTAGACAGAAGCATTCTCAGAATGTTTCCTGTGATGACTGCATTCAACTCACAGAGGTGATCAATCCTGCTGATGGAGCAGTTTTGAAACTCTCTTTCTTTGGATTCTGCAAGTGGATATGTGGACCTCTGTGAAGATTTCGTTGGAAACGGGTTCATCTTCACAGAAAAACTAAACAGAAGCATTCTCATAAACTGCTTTGTGATGTTTGTGTTCCACTTCAGGAATTGAACTTTCCTCTTGACAGAGCAGCTCTGAAACCCTCTTTTTCTAGAATCTGCAAGTGGACATTTGGAGGGCTTTGAGGCCTGTGGTGGAAAAGGAAACTCTTCACATAAAAACTAGATGGAAGCATTCTCAGAAACTACTTTGTGATGATTGCATTCGACTCACAGAGTTGAACATTCCTATAGATAGAGCAGGTTGTAAGAAATCTTTTTGTAGAATCTGCGATTGGAGATTTGGACTGCTTTGAGGCCTACTGTTGTAAAGGAAATAACTTCATCTAAAAACCAAACGGAAGCATTCACAGACAATTCTTAGTGATCATTGGATTGAACTAACAGAGCTGAACACTCCTTTAGATGGCGCTGTTTCCAAACACACTTTCTGTAGAATCTGCAAGTGGATATTTGGACTTCTCTGAGGATTTCGTTGGAAACGGGATAAACTTCCCAGAACTACACGGAAGCATTCTGAGAAACTTCTTTGTGATGTTTGCATTCAACTCACAGAGTTGAACCTTGCTTTCATAGTTCAGCTTTCAAACACTCTTTTTGTAGAATCTGCAAGTGGATATTTGGACCACTTTGTGGCCTTCCTTCGAAACGGGTATATCTTCACATCAAACCTAGACAGAAGCATTCTCAGAATGTTTCCTGTGATGACTGCATTCAACTCACAGAGGTGAACAATCCTGCTGATGGAGCAGTTTTGAAACTCTCTTTCTTTGGATTCTGCAAGTGGATATGTGGACC
The DNA here is from genome assembly GCF_000001405.40 of Homo sapiens. Classification (NCBI taxonomy): domain Eukaryota; kingdom Metazoa; phylum Chordata; class Mammalia; order Primates; family Hominidae; genus Homo; species Homo sapiens. The sequence goes on from NC_000011.10 coordinate 53,748,374, forward strand.
TCTGTGAAGATTTCGTTGGAAACGGGTTCATCTTCACAGAAAAACTAAACAGGAGCATTCTCAGAAACTGCTTTGTGATGTTTGTGTTCCACTTCAGGAATTGAACTTTCCTCTTCACAGAGCAGCTCTGAAACCCTCTTAATCTAGAATCTGCAAGTGGACATTTGGAGGGCTTTGAGGCCTGTGGTGGAAAAGGAAAATCTTCACATAAAAACTAGATGGAAGCATTCTCAGAAACTACTTTGTGATGATTGCATTCGACTCACAGAGTTGGACATTCCTATAGATAGAGCAGGTTGTAAACAATCTTTTTGTAGAATCTGCGATTGGAGATTTGGACTGCTTTGAGGCCTACTGTAGTAAAGGAAATAACTTCATCTAAAAAACAAACGGAAGCATTCACAGACAATTCTTAGTGATCATTGCATTGAACTAACAGAGCTGAACATTCCTTTAGATGGCGCAGTTTCCAAACACACTTTCTGTAGAATCTGCAAGTGGATATTTGGACTTCTCTGAGGATTTCGTTGGAAACGGGATAAACTTCCCAGAACTACACGGAAGCATTCTGAGAAACTTCTTTGTGATGTTTTCATTCAACTCACAGAGTTGAACCTTGCTTTCATAGTTCAGCTTTCAAACACTCTTTGTAGAATCTGCAAGTGGATATTTGGACCACTTTGTGGCCTTCCTTCGAAACGGGTATATCTTCACATCAAACCTAGACAGAAGCATTCTCAGAATGTTTCCTGTGATGACTGCATTCAACTCACAGAGGTGAACAATCCTGCTGATGGAGCAGTTTTGAAACTCTCTTTCTTTGGATTCTGCAAGTGGATATGTGGACCTCTGTGAAGATTTCGTTGGAAACGGGTTCATCTTCACAGAAAAACTAAACAGAAGCATTCTCAGAAACTGCTTTGTGATGTTTGTGTTCCACTTCAAGAATTGAACTTTCCTCTTGACAGAGCAGCTCTGAAACCCTCTTTTTCTAGAATCTGCAAGTGGACATTTGGAGGGCTTTGAGGCCTGTGGTGGAAAAGGAAAATCTTCACATAAAAACTACATGGAAGCATTCTCAGAAACTACTTTGTGATGATTGCATTCGACCCACAGAGTTGAACATTCCTATAGATAGAGCAGGTTGTAAACAATCTTTTTGTAGAATCTGCGATTGGAGATTTGGACTGCTTTGAGGCCTACTGTAGTAAAGGAAATAACTTCATCTAAAAACCAAACGGAAGCATTCACAGACAATTCTTAGTGATCATTGGATTGAACTAACAGAGCTGAACATTCCTTTAGATGGAGCAGTTTCCAAACACACTTTCTGTAGAATCTGCAAGTGGATATTTGGACCTCTCTGAGGATTTCGTTGGAAACGGGATAAACTTCCTAGAACTACACGGAAGTATTCTGAGAAACTTCTTTGGGATGTTTGCATTCAACTCACAGAGTTGAACCTTGCTTTCATAGTTCAGCTTTCAAACACTCTTATTGTAGAATCTGCAAGTGGATATTTGGACCACTTTGTGGCCTTCCTTCGAAACGGGTATATCTTCACATCAAACCTAGACAGAAGCATTCTCAGAATGTTTCCTGTGATGACTGCATTCAACTCACAGAGGTGAACAATCCTGCTGATGGAGCAGTTTTGAAACTCTCTTTCTTTGGATTCTGCAAGTGGATATGTGGAGCTCTGTGAAGATTTCGTTGGAAACGGGTTCATCTTCACAGAAAAACTAAACAGGAGCATTCTCAGAAACTGCTTTGTGATGTTTGTGTTCCACTTCAAGAATTGAAATTTCCTCTTGACAGAGCAGCTCTGAAACCCTCTTTTTCTAGAATCTGCAAGTGGACATTTGGAGGGATTTGAGGCCTGTGGTGGAAAAGGAAAAATCTTCACATAAAAACTAGATGGAAGCATTCTCAGAAACTACTTTGTGATGATTGCATTCGACTCACAGAGTTGAACATTCCTATAGATAGAGCAGGTTGTAAACAATCTTTTTGTAGAATCTGCGATTGGAGATTTGGACTGCTTTGAGGCCTACTGTAGTAAAGGAAATAACTTCATCTAAAAACCAAACGGAAGCATTCACAGACAATTCTTAGTGATCATTGGATTGAACTAACAGAGCTGAACATTCCTTTAGATGGAGCAGTTTCCAAACACACTTTCTGTAGAATCTGCAAGTGGATATTTGGACTTCTCTGAGGATTTCGTTGGAAACGGGATAAACTTCCCAGAACTACACGGAAGCATTGTGAGAAACTTCTTTGTGATGTTTGCATTCAACTCACAGAGTTGAACCTTGCTTTCATAGTTCAGCTTTCAAACACTCCTTTTGTAGAATCTGCAAGTGGATATTTGGACCACTTTGTGGCCTTCCTTGGAAACGGGTATATCTTCACATCAAACCTAGACAGAAGCATTCTCAGAATGTTTCCTGTGATGACTGCATTCAACTCACAGAGGTGAACAATCCTGCTGATGGAGCAGTTTTGAAACTCTCTTTCTTTGGATTCTGCAAGTGGATATGTGGACCTCTGTGAAGATTTCGTTGGAAACGGGTTCATCTTCACAGAAAAACTAAACAGGAGCATTCTCAGAAACTGCTTTGTGATGTTTGTGTTCCACTTCAGGAATTGAACTTTCCTCTTGACAGAGCAGCTCTGAAACCCTCTTATTCTAGAATCTGCAAGTGGACATTTGTAGGGATTTGAGGCCTGTGGTGGAAAAGGAAAATCTTCACATAAAAACTAGATGGAAGCATTCTCAGAAACTACTTTGTGATGATTGCATTCGACTCACAGAGTTGAACATTCCTATAGATAGAGCAGGTTGTAAACAATGTTTTTGTAGAATCTGCGATTGGAGATTTGGACTGCTTTGAGGCCTACTGTAGTAAAGGAAATAACTTCATCTAAAAACCAAACGGAAGCATTCACAGACAATTCTTAGTGATCATTGGATTGAACTAACAGAGCTGAACATTCCTTTAGATGGAGCATTTTCCAAACACACTTTCTGTAGAATCTGCAAGTGGATATTTGGACTTCTCTGAGGATTTCGTTGGAAACGGGATAAACTTCCCAGAACTACACGGAAGCATTCTGAGAAACTTCTTTGTGATGTTTGCATTCAACTCACAGAGTTGAACCTTGCTTTCATAGTTCAGCTTTCAAACACTCTTTTTGTAGAATCTGCAAGTGGATATTTGGACCACTTTGTGGCCTTCCTTCGAAACGGGTATATCTTCACATCAAACCTAGACAGAAGCATTCTCAGAATGTTTCCTGTGATGACTGCATTCAACTCACAGAGGTGAACAATCCTGCTGATGGAGCAGTTTTGAAACTCTCTTTCTTTGGATTCTGCAAGTGGATATGTGGACCTCTGTGAAGATTTCGTTGGAAACGGGTTCATCTTCACAGAAAAACTAAACAGAAGCATTCTCAGAAACTGCTTTGTGATGTTTGTGTTCCACTTCAGGAATTGAACTTTCCTCTTGACAGAGCAGCTCTGAAACCCTCTTTTTCTAGAATCTGCAAGTGGACATTTGGAGGGCTTTGAGGCCTGTGGTGGAAAAGGAAAATCTTCACATAAAAACTAGATGGAAGCATTCTCAGAAACTACTTTGTGATGATTGCATTCGACTCAAAGAGTTGAACATTCCTATAGATAGAGCAGGTTGTAAACAATCTTTTTGTAGAATCTGCGATTGCAGATTTGGACTGCTTTGAGGCCTACTGTAGTAAAGGAAATAACTTCATCTAAAAACCAAACGGAAGCATTCACAGACAATTCTTAGTGATCATTGGATTGAACTAACAGAGCTGAACATTCCTTTAGATGGCGCAGTTTCCAAACACACTTTCTGTAGAATCTGCAAGTGGATATTTGGACCTCTCTGAGGATTTAGTTGGAAACGGGATAAACTTCCCAGAACTACAAGGAAGCATTCTGAGAAACTTCTTTGTGATGTTTGCATTCAACTCACAGAGTTGAACCTTGCTTTCATAGTTCAGCTTTCAAACACTCTTTTTGTAGAATCTGCAAGTGGATATTTGGACCACTTTGTGGCCTTCCTTCGAAACGGGTATATCTTCACATCAAACCTAGACAGAAGCATTCTCAGAATGTTTCCTGTGATGACTGCATTCAACTCACAGAGGTGAACAATCCTGCTGATGGAGCAGTTTTGAAACTCTCTTTCTTTGGATTCTGCAAGTGGATATGTGGACCTCTGTGAAGATTTCGTTGGAAACGGGTTCATCTTCACAGAAAAACTAAACAGGAGCATTCTCAGAAACTGCTTTGTGATGTTTGTGTTCCACTTCAAGAATTGACCTTTGCTCTTGACAGAGCAGCTCTGAAACCCTCTTTTTCTAGAATCTGTAAGTGGACATTTGGAGGGCTTTGAGGACTGTGGTGGAAAAGGAAAATCTTCACATAAAAACTAGATGGAAGCATTCTCAGAAACTACTCTGTGATGATTGCATTCGACTCACAGAGTTGTACATTCCTATCGATAGAGCAGGTTGTAAACAATCTTTTTGTAGAATCTGCGATTGGAGATTTGGACTGCTTTGAGGCCTACTGTAGTAAAGGAAATAACTTCATCTAAAAACCAAACGGAAGCATTCACAGACAATTCTTAGTGATCATTGCATTGAACTAACAGAGCTGAACATTCCTTTAGATGGAGCAGTTTCCAAACACACTTTCTGTAGAATCTGCAAGTGGATATTTGGACCTCTCTGAGGATTTCGTTGGAAAAGGGATAAACTTCCCAGAACTACACGGAAGCATTCTGAGAAACTTCTTTGTGATGTTTGCATTCAACTCACAGAGTTGAACCTTGCTTTCATAGTTCAGCTTTCAAACACTCTTTTTGTAGAATCTGCAAGTGGATATTTGGACCACTTTCTGGCCTTCCTTCGAAACGGGTATATCTTCACATCAAACCTAGACAGAAGCATTCTCAGAATGTTTCCTGTGATGACTGCATTCAACTCACAGAGGTGAAAAATCCTGCTGATGGAGCAGTTTTGAAACTCTCTTTCTTTGGATTCTGCAAGTGGATATGTGGAGCTTTGTGATCATTTTGTTGGAACCGGGTTCATCTTCACAGAAAAACTAAACAGGAGCATTCCCAGAAACTGCTTTGTGATGTTTGTGTTCCACTTCAAGAATTTAACTTTCCTCTTGACAGAGCAGCTCTGAAACCCTCTTTTTCTAGAATCTGCAAGTGGACATTTGGAGGGCTTTGAGGCCTGTGGTGGAAAAGGAAAATCTTCACATAAAAACTAGATGGAAGCATTCTCAGAAACTACTTTGTGATGATTGCATTCGACTCACAGAGTTGAACATTCCTATAGATAGAGCAGGTTGTAAACAATCTTTTTGTAGAATCTGCGATTGGAGATTTGGACTGCTTTGAGGCCTACTGTAGTAAAGGAAATAAGTTCATCTAAAAACCAAACGGAAGCATTCACAGACAATTCTTAGTGATCATTGGATTGAACTAACAGAGCTGAACATTCCTTTAGATGGCGCAGTTTCCAAACACACTTTCTTTAGAATCTGCAAGTGGATATTTGGACCTCTCTGACGATTTCGTTGGAAACGGGATAAACTTCCCAGAACTACACGGAAGCATTGTGAGAAACTTCTTTGTGATGTTTGCATTCAACTCACAGAGTTGAACCTTGCTTTCATAGTTCAGCTTTCAAACACTCTTTTTGTAGAATCTGCAAGTGGATATTTGGACCACTTTGTGGCCTTCCTTCGAAACGGGTATATCTTCACATCAAACCTAGACAGAAGCACTCTCAGAATGTTTCCTGTGATGACTGCATTCAAATCACAGAGGTGAACAATCCTGCTGATGGAGCACTTTTGAAACTCTCTTCTTTGGATTCTGCAAGTGGATATGTGGACCTCTGTGAAGATTTCGTTGGAAACGGGTTCATCTTCACAGAAAAACTAAACAGAAGCATTCTCAGAAACTACTTTGTGATGTTTGTGTTCCACTTCAAGAATTGAACTTTCCTCTTGACAGAGCAGCTCTGAAACCCTCTTTTTCTAGAATCTGCAAGTGGACATTTGGAGGGCTTGGAGGCCTGTGGTGGAAAAGGAAAATCTTCACATAAAAACTAGATGGAAGCATTCTCAGAAACTACTTTGTGATGATTGCATTCGACTCACAGAGTTGAACATTCCTATAGATAGAGCAGGTTGTAAACAATCTTTTTGTAGAATCTGCGATTGGAGATTTGGACTGCTTTGAGGCCTACTGTAGTAAAGGAAATAACTTCATCTAAAAACCAAAGGGAAGCATTCACAGACAATTCTTAGTGATCATTGCATTGAACTAACAGAGCTGAACATTCCTTTAGATGGAGCAGTTTCCAAACACACTTTCTGTAGAATCTGCAAGTGGATATTTGGACTTCTCTGAGGATTTCTTTGGAAACGGGATAAACTTCCCAGAACTACACGGAAGCATTGTGAGAAATTTCTTTGTGATGTTTGCATTCAACTCACAGAGTTGAACCTTGCTTTCATAGTTCAGATTTCAAACACTCTTTTTGTAGAATCTGCAAGTGGATATTTGGACCACTTTGTGGCCTTCCTTCGAAACGGGTATATCTTCACATCAAACCTAGACAGAAGCATTCTCAGAATGTTTCCTGTGATGACTGCATTCAACTCACAGAGGTGAACAATCCTGTTGATGGAGCAGTTTTGAAACTCTCTTTCTTTGGATTCTGCAAGTGGATATTTGGACCTCTGTGAAGATTTCGTTGGAAACGGGTTCATCTTCACAGAAAAACTAAACAGGAGCATTCTCAGAAACTGCTTTGTGATGTTTGTGTTCCACTTAAAGAATTGAACTTTCCTCTTGACAGAGCAGCTCTGAAACCCTCTTATTCTAGAATCTGCAAGTGGACATTTGGAGGGCTTTGAGGCCTGTGGTGGAAAAGGAAAATCTTCACATACAAACTAGATGGAAGCATTCTCAGAAACTACTTTGTGATGATTGCATTCGACTCACAAAGTTGAACATTCCTATAGATAGAGCAGGTTGTAAACAATCTTTTTGTAGAATCTGCGATTGGAGAATTGGACTGCTTTGAGGCCTACTGTAGTAAAGAAAATAACTTCATCTAAAAACCAAACGGAAGCATTCACAGACAATTCTTAGTGATCATGGCATTGAACTAACAGAGCTGAACATTCCTTTAGATGGCGCAGTTTCCAAACACACTTTCTGTAGAATCTGCAAGTGGATATTTGGACCTCTCTGAGGATTTCGTTGGAAACGGGATAAACTTCCCAGAACTACACGGAAGCATTGTGAGAAACTTCTTTGTGATGTTTGCATTCAACTCACAGAGTTGAACCTTGCTTTCATAGTTCAGCTTTCAAACACTCTTTTTGTAGAATCTGCAAGTGGATATTTGGACCACTTTGTGGCCTTCCTTCGAAACGGGTATATCTTCACATCAAACCTAGACAGAAGCATTCTCATAATGTTTCCTGTGATGACTGCATTCAACTCACAGAGGTGAACAATCCTGCTGATGGAGCAGTTTTGAAACTCTCTTTCTTTGGATTCTGCAAGTGGATATGTGGACCTCTGTGAAGATTTCGTTGGAAACGGGTTCATCTTCACAGAAAAACTAAACAGGAGCATTCTCAGAAACTGCTTTGTGATGTTTGTGTTCCACTTCAGGAATTGAACTTTCCTCTTGACAGAGCAGCTCTGAAACCCTCTTTTTGTAGAATCTGCAAGTGGACATTTGGAGAGCTTTGAGGCCTGTGGTGAAAAAGGAAAATCTTCACATAAAATCTACATGGAAGCATTCTCAGAAACTACTTTGTGATGATTGCATTCGACTCACAGAGTTGAAAATTCCTATAGATAGACCAGGTTGTAAACAATCTTTTTGTAGAATCTGCGATTGGAGATTTGGACTGCTTTGAGGCCTACTGTAGTAAAGGAAATAACTTCATCTAAAAACCAAACGGAAGCATTCACAGACAATTCTTAGTGATCATTGCATTGAACTAACAGAGCTGAACATTGCTTTAGATGGCGCAGTTTCCAAACCCACTTTCTGTAGAATCTGCAAGTGGATATTTGGACCTCTCTGAGGATTTCGTTGGAAACGGGATAAACTTCCCAGAACTACACGGAAGCATGCTGAGAAACTTCTTTGTGATGTTTGCATTCAACTCACAGAGTTGAACCTTGCTTTCATAGTTCAGCTTTCAAACACTCTTTTTGTAGAATCTGCAAGTGGATATTTGGACAACTTTGTGGCCTTCCTTCGAAACGGGTATATCTTCACATCAAACCTAGACAGAAGCATTCTCAGAATGTTTCCTGTGATGACTGCATTCAACTCACAGAGGTGAACAATCCTGTTGATGGAGCAGTTTTGAAACTCTCTTTCTTTGGATTCTGCAAGTTGATATGTGGACCTCTGTGAAGATTTCGTTGGAAACGGGTTCATCTTCACAGAAAAACTAAACAGAAGCATTCTCAGAAACTGCTTTGTGATGTTTGTGTTCCACTTCAGGAATTGAACTTTCCTCTTGACAGAGCAGCTCTGAAACCCTCTTTTTCTAGAATCTGCAAGTGAACATTTGGAGGGCTTTGAGGCCTGTGGTGGAAAAGGAAAATCTTCACATAAAAACTAGATGGAAGCATTCTCAGAAACTACTTTGTGATGATTGCATTCGACTCACAGAGTTGAACATTCCTATAGATAGAGCAGGTTGTAAACAATCTTTTTGTAGAATCTGCGATTGGAGATTTGGACTGCTTTGAGGCCTACTGTAGTAAAGGAAATAACTTCATCTAAAAACCAAACGGAAGCATTCACAGACAATTCTTAGTGATCATTGGATTGAACTAACAGAGCTGAACATTCCTTTAGATGGAGCAGTTTCCAAACACACTTTCTGTAGAATCTGCAAGTGGATATTTGGACCTCTCTGAGGAGTTCGTTGGAAACGGGATAAACTTCCCAGAACTACACGGAAGCATTCTGAGAAACTTCTTTGTGATGTTTGCATTCAACTCACAGAGTTGAACCTTGCTTTCATAGTTCAGCTTTCAAACACTCTTTTTGTAGAATCTGCAAGTGGATATTTGGACCACTTTGTGGCCTTCCTTCGAAACGGGTATATCTTCACATCAAACCTAGACAGAAGCATTCTCAGAATGTTTCCTGTGATGACTGCATTCAACTCACAGAGGTGAACAATGCTGCTGATGGAGCAGTTTTGAAACTCTCTTTCTTTGGATTCTGCAAGTGGATATGTGGACCTCTGTGAAGATTTCGTTGGAAACGGGTTCATCTTCACAGAAAAACTAAACAGAAGCATTCTCAGAAACTGCTCTGTGATGTTTGTGTTCCACTTCAAGAATTGAACTTTCCTCTTGACAGAGCAGCTCTGAAACCCTCTTTTTCTAGAATCTGCAAGTGGACATTTGGAGGGCTTTTAGGCCTGTGGTGCAAAAGGAAAATCTTCACATAAAAACTAGATGGAAGCATTCTCAGAAACTACTTTGTGATGATTGCATTCGACTCACAGAGTTGAACATTCCTATAGATAGAGCAGGTTGTAAACAATCTTTTTGTAGAATCTGCGATTGGAGATTTGGACTGCTTTGAGGCCTACTGTAGTAAAGGAAATAACTTCATCTAAAAACCAAACGGAAGCATTCACAGACAATTCTTAGTGATCATTGCATTGAACTAACAGAGCTGAACATTCCTGTAGATGGCGCAGTTTCCAAACACACTTTCTGTAGAATCTGCAAGTGGATATTTGGACCTCTCTGAGGATTTCGTTGGAAACGGGATAAACTTCCCAGTACTACACGGAAGCATTGTGAGAAACTTCTTTGGATGTTTGCATTCAACTCACAGTGTTGAACCTTGCTTTCATAGTTCAGCTTTCAAACACTCTTTTTGTAGAATCTACAAGTGGATATTTGGACCACTTTGTGGCCTTCCTTCCAAACGGGTATATCTTCACATCAAACCTAGACAGAAGCATTCTCAGAATGTTTCCTGTGATGACTGCATTCAACTCACAGAGGTGAACAATCCTGTTGATGGAGCACTTTTGAAACTCTCTTTCTTTGGATTCTGCAAGTAGATATGTGGACCTGTGTGAAGATTTCGTTGGAAACGGGTTCATCTTCACAGAAAAACTAAACAGAAGCATTCTCAGAAACTACTTTGTGATGTTTGTGTTCCACTTCAAGAATTGAACTTTCCTCTTGAGAGAGCAGCTCTGAAACCCTCTTTTTCTAGAGTCTGCAAGTGGACATTTGGAGGGCTTTGAGGCCTGTGGTGGAAAAGGAAAATCTTCACATAAAAACTAGATGGAAACATTCTCAGAAACTACTTTGTGATGATTGCATTCGACTCACAGAGTTGAACATTCCTATAGATAGAGCAGGTTGTAAACAATCTTTTTGTAGAATCTGCGATTGGAGATTTGGACTGCTTTGAGCCCTACTGTAGTAAAGGAAATAACTTCATCTAAAAACCAAACGGAAGCATTCACAGACAATTCTTAGTGATCATTGGATTGAACTAACAGAGCTGAACATTCCTTTAGATGGAGCAGTTTCCAAACACACTTTCTGTAGAATCTGCAAGTGGATATTTGGACTTCTCTGAGGATTTCGTTGGAAACGGGATAAACTTCCCAGAACTACAGGGAAGCATTCTGAGAAACTTCTTTGTGATGTTTGCATTCAACTCACAGAGTTGAACCTTGCTTTCATAGTTCAGCTTTCAAACACTCTTTTTGTAGAATCTGCAAGTGGATATTTGGACCATTTGTGGCCTTCCTTCGAAACGGGTATATCTTCACATCAAACCTAGACAGAAGCATTCTCAGAATGTTTCCTGTGATGACTGCATTCAACTCACAGAGGTGAACAATCCTGCTGAAGGAGCAGTTTTGAAACTCTCTTTCTTTGGATTCTGCAAGTGGATATGTGGACCTCTGTGAAGATTTCGTTGGAAACGGGTTCATCTTCACAGAAAAACTAAACAGAAGCATTCCCAGAAACTGCTTTGTGATGTTTCTGTTCCACTTCAAGAATTGAACTTTCCTCTTGACAGAGCAGCTCTGAAACCCTCTTTTTCTAGAATCTGCAAGTGGACATTTGGAGGGCTTTGAGGCCTGTGGTGGAAAAGGAAAATCTTCACATAAAAACTAGATGGAAGCATTCTCAGAAACTACTTTGTGATGATTGCATTCGACTCACAGAGTTGAACATTCCTATAGATAGAGCAGGTTGTAAACAATCTTTTTGTAGAATCTGCGATTGGAGATTTGGACTGCTTTGAGGCATACTGTAGTAAAGGAAATAACTTCATCTAAAAACCAAACGGAAGCATTCACAGACAATTCTTAGTGATCAGTGCATTGAACTAACAGAGCTGAACATTCCTTTAGATGGCGCAGTTTCCAAACACACTTTCTGTAGAATCTGCAAGTGGATATTTGGACCTCTCTGAGGATTTCGTTGGAAACGGGATAAACTTCCCAGAACTACACGGAAGCATTGTGAGAAACTTCTTTGTGATGTTTGCATTCAACTCACAGAGTTGAACCTTGCTTTCATAGTTCAGCTTTCAAACACTCTTTTTGTAGAATCTGCAAGTGGATATTTGGACCACTTTGTGGCCTTCCTTCGAAACGGGTATATCTTCACATCAAACCTAGACAGAAGCATTCTCAGAATGTTTCCTGTGATGACTGCATTCAACTCACAGAGGTGAACAATCCTGCTGATGGAGCAGTTTTGAAACTCTCTTTCTTTGGATTCTGCAAGTGGATATGTGGACCTCTGTGTAGATTTCGTTGGAAACGGGTTCATCTTCACAGAAAAACTAAACAGGAGCATTCTCAGAAACTACTTTGTGATGTTTGTGTTCCACTTCAAGAATTGAACTTTCCTCTTGACAGAGCAGCTCTGAAACCCTCTTTTTCTAGAATCTGCAAGTGGACATTTGGAGGGCTTTGAGGCCTGTGGTGGAAAAGGAAAATCTTCACATAAAAACTAGATGGAAGCATTCTCAGAAACTACTTTGTGATGATTGCATTCGACTCACAGAGTTGAACATTCCTATAGATAGAGCAGGTTGTAAACAATCTTTTTGTAGAATCTGCGATTGGAGATTTGGACTGCTTTGAGGCCTACTGTAGTAAAGGAAATAACTTCATCTAAAAACCAAACGGAAGCATTCACAGACAATTCTTAGTGATCATTGGATTGAACTAACAGAGCTGAACCTTCCTTTAGATGGAGCAGTTTCCAAACACACTTTCTGTAGAATCTGCAAGTGGATATTTGGACTTCTCTGAGGATTTCGTTGGAAACGGGATAAACTTCCCAGAACTACAGGGAAGCATTCTGAGAAACTTCTTTGTGATGTTTGCATTCAACTCACAGAGTTGAACCTTGCTTTCATAGTTCAGCTTTCAAACACTCTTTTTGTAGAATCTGCAAGTGGATATTTGGACCACTTTGTGGCCTTCCTTCGAAACGGGTATATCTTCACATCAAACCTAGACAGAAGCATTCTCAGAATGTTTCCTGTGATGACTGCATTCAACTCACAGAGGTGAACAATCCTGTTGATGGAGCACTTTTGAAACTCTCTTTCTTTGGATTCTGCAAGTTGATATGTGGACCTCTGTGAAGATTTCGTTGGAAACGGGTTCATCTTCACAGAAAAACTAAACAGAAGCATTCTCAGAAACTGCTTTGTGATGTTTGTGTTCCACTTCAGGAATTGAACTTTCCTCTTGACAGAGCAGCTCTAAAACCCTCTTATTCTAGAATCTGCAAGTGGACATTTGGAGGGCTTTGAGGCCTGTGGTGGAAAAGGAAAATCTTCACATAAAAACTAGATGGAAGCATTCTCAGAAACTACTTTGTGATGATTGCATTCGACTCACAGAGTTGAACATTCCTATAGATAGAGCAGGTTGTAAACAATGTTTTTGTAGAATCTGCGATTGGAGATTTGGACTGCTTTGAGGCCTACTGTAGTAAAGGAAATAACTTCATCTAAAAACCAAACGGAAGCATTCACAGACAATTCTTAGTGATCATTGCATTGAACTAACAGAGCTGAACATTCCTTTAGATGGCGCAGTTTCCAAACACACTTTCTGTAGAATCTGCAAGTGGATATTTGGACTTCTCTGAGGATTTCGTTGGAAACGGGATAAACTTCCCAGAACTACACGGAAAGCATTCTGAGAAACTTCTTTGTGATGTTTGCATTCAACTCACAGAGTTGAACCTTGCTTTCATAGTTCAGCTTTCAAACACTCTTTTTGTAGAATCTGCAAGTGGATATTTGGACCACTTTGTGGCCTTCCTTCGAAACGGGTATATCTTCACATCAAACCTAGACAGAGCATTCTCAGAATGTTTCCTGTGATGACTGCATTCAACTCACAGAGGTGAACAATCCTGCTGATGGAGCAGTTTTGAAACTCTCTTTCTTTGGATTCTGCAAGTGGATATGTGGACCTCTGTGAAGATTTCGTTGGAAACGGGTTCATCTTCACAGAAAAACTAAACAGGAGCATTCTCAGAAACTGCTTTGTGATGTTTGTGTTCCACTTCAAGAATTGAACTTTCCTCTTGACAGAGCAGCTCTGAAACCCTCTTTTTCTAGAATCTGCAAGTGGACATTTGGAGGGCTTTGAGGCCTGTGGTGGAAAAGGAAAATCTTCACATAAAAACTAGATGGAAGCATTCTCAGAAACTACTTTGTGATGATTGCATTCGACTCACAGAGTTGAATATTCCTATAGATAGAGCAGGTTGTAAACAATCTTTTTGTAGAATGTGCGATTGGAGATTTGGACTGCTTTGAGGCCTACTGTAGTAAAGGAAATAACTTCATCTAAAAACCAAACGGAAGCATTCACAGACAATTCTTAGTGATCATTGGATTGAACTAACAGAGCTGAACATTCCTTTAGATGGAGCAGATTCCAAACACACTTTCGGTAGAATCTGCAACTGGATATTTGGACCTCTCTGAGGATTTCGTTGGAAACGGGATAAACTTCCCAGAACTACACGGAAGCATTCTGAGAAACTTCTTTGTGATGTTTGCATTCAACTCACAGAGTTGAACCTTGCTTTCATAGTTCAGCTTTCAAACACTCTTTTTGTAGAATCTGCAAGTGGATATTTGGACCACTTTGTGGCCTTCCTTCGAAACGGGTATATCTTCACATCAAACCTAGACAGAAGCATTCTCAGAATGTTTCCTGTGATGACTGCATTCAACTCACAGAGGTGAACAATCCTGCTGATGGAGCAGTTTTGAAACTCTCTTTCTATGGATTCTGCAAGTGGATATGTGGACCTCTGTGAAGATTTCGTTGGAAACGTGTTCATCTTCACAGAAAAACTAAACAGGAGCATTCTCAGAAACTGCTTTGTTATGTTTGTGTTCCACTTCAAGAATTGAACTTTCCTCTTGACAGAGCAGCTCTGAAACCCTCTTTTTCTAGAATCTGCAAGTGGACATTTGGAGGGCTTTGAGGCCTGTGGTGGAAAAGGAAAATCTTCACATAAAAATTAGATGGAAGCATTCTCAGAAACTACTTTGTGATGATTGCATTCGACTCACAGAGTTGAACATTCCTATAGATAGAGCAGGTTGTAAACAATGTTTTTGTAGAATCTGCGATTGGAGATTTGGATTGCTTTGAGGCCTACTGTAGTAAAGGAAATAACTTCATCTAAAAACCAAACGGAAGCATTCACAGACAATCCTTAGTGATCATTGCATTGAACTAACAGAGCTGAACATTCCTTTAGATGGCGCAGTTTCCAAACACACTTTCTGTAGAATCTGCAAGTGGATATTTGGACCTCTCTGAGGATTTCGTTGGAAACGGGATAAACTTCCCAGAACTACACGGAAGCATTCTGAGAAACTTCTTTGTGATGTTTGCATTCAACTCACAGAGTTGAACCTTGTTTTCATAGTTCAGCTTTCAAACACTCTTTTTGTAGAATCTGCAAGTGGATATTTGGACCACTTTGTGGCCTTCTTTCGAAACGGGTATATCTTCACATCAAACCTAGACAGAAGCATTCTCAGAATGTTTCCTGTGATGACTGCATTCAACTCACAGAGGTGAACAATCCTGTTGATGGAGCACTTTTGAAACTCTCTTTCTTTGTATTCTGCAAGTTGATATGTGGACCTCTGTGAAGATTTCGTTGGAAACGGGTTCATCTTCACAGAAAAACTAAACAGAAGCATTCTCAGAAACTACTTTGTGATGTTTGTGTTCCACTTCAAGAATTGAACTTTCCTCTTGACAGAGCAGCTCTGAAACCCTCTTTTTCTAGAATCTGCAAGTGGACATTTGGAGGGCTTTGAGGCCTGTGGTGGAAAAGGAAAATCTTCACATAAAAACTAGATGGAAGCATTCTCAGAAACTACTTTGTGATGATTGCATTCGACTCACAGAGTTGAACATTCCTATAGATAGAGCAGGTTGTAAACAATCTTTTTGTAGAATCTGCGATTGGAGATTTGGACTGCTTTGAGGCCTACTGTAGTAAAGGAAATAACTTCATCTAAAAACCAAACGGAAGCATTCACAGACAATTCTTAGTGATCATTGCATTGAACTAAAAGAGCTGAACATTCCTTTAGATGGCGCAGTTTCCAAACACACTTTCTGTAGAATCTGCAAGTGGATATTTGGACCTCTCTGAGGATTTCGTTGGAAACGGGATAAACTTCCCAGAACTACACGGAAGCATTCTGAGAAAATTCTTTGTGAAGTTTGCATTCAACTCACAGAGTTGAACCTTGGTTTCATAGTTCAGCTTTCAAACACTCTTTTTGTAGAATCTGCAAGTGGATATTTGGACCACTTTGTGGCCTTCCTTCGAAACGGGTATATCTTCACATCAAACCTAGACAGAAGCATTCTCAGAATGTTTCCTGTGATGACTGCATTCAACTCACAGAGGTGAACAATCCTGCTGATGGAGCAGTTTTGAAACTCTCTTTCTTTGGATTCTGCAAGTGGATATGTGGACCTCTGTGAAGATTTCGTTGGAAACGGGTTCATCTTCACAGAAAAACTAAACAGGAGTATTCTAAGAAACTGCTTTGTGATGTTTGTGTTCCACTTCAAGAATTGAACTTTCCTCTTGACAGAGCAGCTCTGAAACCCTCTTTTTCTAGAATCTGCAAGTGGACATTTGGAGGGCTTTGAGGCCTGTGGTGGAAAAGGAAAATCTTCACATAAAAACTAGATGGAAGCATTCTCAGAAACTACTTTGTGATGATTGCATTCGACTCACAGAGTTGAACATTCCTATAGATAGAGCAGGTTGTAAACAATGTTTTTGTAGAATCTGCGATTGGAGATTTGGATTGCTTTGAGGCCTACTGTAGTAAAGGAAATAACTTCATCTAAAAACCAAACGGAAGCATTCACAGACAATTCTTAGTGATCATTGCATTGAACTAACAGAGCTGAACATTCCTTTAGATGGAGCATTTTCCAAACACACTTTCTGTAGAATCTGCAAGTGGATATTTGGACTTCTCTGAGGATTTCGTTGGAAACGGGATAAACTTCCCAGAACTACACGGAAGCATGCTGAGAAACTTCTTTGTGATGTTTGCATTCAACTCACAGAGTGGAACCTTGCTTTCATAGTTCAGCTTTCAAACACTCTTTTTGTGGAATCTGCAAGTGGATATTTGGACCACTTTGTGGCCTTCCTTCGAAACGGGTATATCTTCACATCAAACCTAGACAGAAGCATTCTCAGAATGTTTCCTGTGATGACTGCATTCAACTCACAGAGGTGAACAATCCGGCTAATGGAGCAGTTTTGAAACTCTCTTTCTTTGGATTCTGCAAGTGGATATGTGGACCTCTGTGAAGATTTCGTTGGAAACGGGTTCATCTTCACAGAAAAACTAAACAGAAGCATTCCCAGAAACTGCTTTGTGATGTTTCTGTTCCACTTCAAGAATTGAACTTTCCTCTTGACAGAGCAGCTCTGAAACCCTCTTTTTCTAGAATCTGCAAGTGGACATTTGGAGGGCTTTGAGGCCTGTGGTGGAAAAGGAAAATCTTCACATAAAAACTAGATGGAAGCATTCTCAGAAACTACTTTGTGATGATTGCATTCGACTCACAGAGTTGCACATTCCTATAGATAGAGCAGGTTGTAAACAATCTTTTTGTAGAATCTGCGATTGGAGATTTGGACTGCTTTGAGGCCTACTGTAGTAAAGGAAATAACTTCATCTAAAAACCAAACGGAAGCATTCACAGACAATTCTTAATGATCATTGGATTGAACTAACAGAGCTGAACATTCCATTAGATGGAGCAGTTTCCAAACACACTTTCTGTAGAATCTGCAAGTGGATATTTGGACCTCTCTGAGGATTTCGTTGGAAACGGGATAAACTTCCCAGAACTACACGGAAGCATTCTGAGAAACTTCTTTGTGATGTTTGCATTCAACTCACAGAGTTGAACCTTGCTTTCATAGTTCAGCTTTCAAACACTCTTTTTGTAGAATCTGCAAGTGGATATTTGGACCACTTTGTGGCCTTCCTTCGAAACGGGTATATCTTCACATCAAACCTAGACAGAAGCATTCTCAGAATGTTTCCTGTGATGACTGCATTCAACTCACAGAGGTGAACAATCCTGCTGATGGAGCAGTTTTGAAACTCTCTTTCTTTGGATTCTGCAAGTGGATATGTGGACCTCTGTGAAGATTTCGTTGGAAACGGGTTCATCTTCACAGAAAAACTAAACAGGAGCATTCTCAGAAACTGCTTTGTGATGTTTGTGTTCCACTTCAGGAATTGAACTTTCCTCTTGACAGAGCAGCTCTAAAACCCTCTTATTCTAGAATCTGCAAGTGGACATTTGGAGGGCTTTGAGGCCTGTGGTGGAAAAGGAAAATCTTCACATAAAAACTAGATGGAAGCATTCTCAGAAACTACTTTGTGATGATTGCATTCGACTCACAGAGTTGAACATTCCTATAGATAGAGCAGGTTGTAAACAATCTTTTTGTAGAATCTGCGATTGGAGATTTGGACTGCTTTGAGGCCTACTGTAGTAAAGGAAATAACTTCATCTAAAAACCAAACGGAAGCATTCACAGACAATTCTTAGTGATCATTGGATTGAACTAACAGAGCTGAACATTCCTTTAGATGGAGCAGTTTCCAAACCCACTTTCTGTAGAATCTGCAAGTGGATATTTGGACTTCTCTGAATATTTCGTTGGAAACGGGATAAACTTCCCATAACTACAGGGAAGCATTCTGAGAAACTTCTTTGTGATGTTTGCATTCAACTCACAGAGTTGAACCTTGCTTTCATAGTTCAGCTTTCAAACACTCTTTTTGTACAATCTGCAAGTGGATATTTGGACCACTTTGTGGCCTTCCTTCGAAACGGGTATATCTTCACATCAAACCTAGACAGAAGCATTCTCAGAATGTTTCCTGTGATGACTGCATTCAACTCACAGAGGAGAACAATCCTGTTGTTGGAGCAGTTTTGAAACTCTCTTTCTTTGGATTCTGCAAGTGGATATGTGGACCTCTGTGAAGATTTGGTTGGAAACGGGTTCATCTTCACAGAAAAACTAAACAGAAACATTCTCAGAAACTGCTTTGTGATGTTTGTGTTCCACTTCAAGAATTGAACTTTCCTCTTGACAGAGCAGCTCTGAAACCCTCTTTTTCTAGAATCTGCAAGTGGACATTTGGAGGGCTTTGAGGCCTGTGGTGGAAAAGGAAAATCTTCACATAAAAACTAGATGGAAGCATTCTCAGAAACTACTTTGTGATGATTGCATTCGACTCACAGAGTTAAACATTCCTATAGATAGAGCAGGTTGTAAACAATCTTTTTGTAGAATCTGCGATTGGAGATTTGGACTGCATTGAGGCCTACTGTAGTAAAGGAAATAACTTCATCTAAAAACCAAACGGAAGCATTCACAGACAATCCTTAGTGATCATTGCATTGAACTAACAGAGCTGAACATTCCTTTAGATGGCGCAGTTTCCAAACACACTTTCTGTAGAATCTGCAAGTGGATATTTGGACCTCTCTGAGGATTTCGTTGGAAACGGGATAAACTTCCCAGAACTACACGGAAGCATTTTGAGAAACTTCTTTGTGATGTTTGCATTCAACTCACAGAGTTGAACCTTGCTTTCATAGTTCAGCTTTCAAACACTCTTTTTGTAGAATCTGCAAGTGGATATTTGGACCACTTTGTGGCCTTCCTTTGAAAAGGGTATATCTTCACATCAAACCTAGACAGAAGCATTCTCAGAATGTTTCCTGTGATGACTGCATTCAACTCACAGAGGTGAACAATCCTGCTGATGGAGCAGTTTTGAAACTGTCTTTCTTTGGATTCTGCAAGTGGATATGTGGACCTCTGTGAAGATTTCGTTGGAAACGGGTTCATCTTCACAGAAAAACTAAACAGGAGCATTCTCACAAACTGCTTTGTGAGGTTTGTGTTCCACTTCAGGAATTGAACTTTCCTCTTGACAGAGCAGCTCTGAAACCCTCTTTTTCTAGAATCTGCAAGTGGACATTTGGAGGGCTTTGAGGCCTGTGGTGGAAAAGGAAAATCTTCACATAAAAACTAGATGGAAGCATTCTCAGAAACTACTTTGTGATGATTGCATTCGACTCACAGAGTTGAACATTCCTATAGATAGAGCAGGTTGTAAACAATCTTTTTGTAGAATCTGCGATTGGAGATTTGGACTGCTTTGAGGCCTACTGTAGTAAAGGAAATAACTTCATCTAAAAACCAAACGGAAGCATTCACAGACAATTCTTAGTGATCATTGGATTGAAGTAACAGAGCTGAACACTCCTTTAGATGGAGCAGTTTCCAAACACACTTTCTGTAGAATCTGCAAGTGGATATTTGGACTTCTCTGAGGATTTCCATGGAAACGGGATAAAATTCCCAGAACTACACGGAAGCATTCTGAGAAACTTCTTTGTGATGTTTGCATTCAACTCACAGAGTTGAACCTTGCTTTCATAGTTCAGCTTTCAAACACTCTTTTTGTAGAATCTGCAAGTGGATATTTGGACCACTTTGTGGCCTTCCTTCGAAACGGGTATATCTTCACATCAAACCTAGACAGAAGCATTCTCAGAATGTTTCCTGTGATGACTGCATTCAACTCACAGAGGTGAACAATTCTGCTGATGGAGCAGTTTTGAAACTCTCCTTCTTTGGATTCTGGAAGTGGATATGTGGACCTCTGTGAAGATTTCGTTGGAAACGGGTTCATCTTCACAGAAAAATTAACAGAAGCATTCTCAGAAACTGCTGTGTGATGTCTGTGTTCGACTTCAGGAATTGAACTTTCCTCTTGACAGAGCAGCTCTGAAACCCTCTTATTCTAGAATCTGCAAGTGGACATTTGGAGGGCTTTGAGGCCTGTGGTGGAAAAGGAAAATCTTCACATAAAAACTAGATGGAAGCATTCTCAGAAACTACTTTGTGATGATTGCATTCGACTCACAGAGTTGAACATTCCTATACATAGAGCAGGTTGTAAACAATCTTTTTGTAGAATCTGCGATTGGAGATTTGGACTGCTTTGAGGCCTACTGTAGTAAAGGAAATAACTTCATCTAAAAACCAAACGGAAGCATTCACAGACAATTCTTAGTGATCATTGCATTGAACTAACAGAGCTGAACATTCCTTTAGATGGCGCAGTTTCCAAACACACTTTCTGTAGAATCTGCAAGTGGATATTTGGACTTCTCTGAGGATTTCGTTGGAAACGGGATAAACTTCCCAGAACTACACGGAAGCATTGTGAGAAACTTCTTTGTGATGTTTGCATTCAACTCACAGAGTTGAACCTTGCTTTCATAGTTCAGCTTTCAAACACTCTTTTTGTAGAATCTGCAAGTGGATATTTGGACCACTTTGTGGCCTTCCTTCGAAACGGGTATATCTTCACATCAAACCTAGACAGAAGCATTCTCAGAATGTTTCCTGTGATGACTGCATTCAACTCACAGAGGTGAACAATCCTGCTGATGGAGCAGTTTTGAAACTCTCTTTCTTTGGATTCTGCAAGTGGATATGTGGACCTCTGTGAAGATTTCGTTGGAAACGGGTTCATCTTCACAGAAAAACTAAACAGGAGCATTCTCAGAAACTGCTTCGTGATGTTTGTGTTCCTCTTCAAGAATTGAACTTTCCTCTTGACAGAGCAGCTCTGAAACCCTCTTTTTCTAGAATCTGCAAGTGGACATTTGGAGGGCTTTGAGGCCTGTGGTGGAAAAGGAAAATCTTCACATAAAAACTAGATGGAAGCATTCTCAGAAACTACTTTGTGATGATTGCATTCGACTCACAGAGTTGAACATTCCTATAGATAGAGCAGGTTGTAAACAATCTTTTTGTAGAATCTGCGATTGGAGATTTGGACTGCTTTGAGGCCTACTGTAGTAAAGGAAATAACTTCATCTAAAAACCAAACGGAAGCATTCACAGACAATTCTTAGTGATCATTGCATTGAACTAACAGAGCTGAACATTCTTTTAGATGGCGCAGTTTCCAAACACACTTTCTGTAGAATCTGCAAGTGGATATTTGGACCTCTCTGAGGATTTCGTTGGAAACGGGATAAACTTCCCAGATCTACACGGAAGCATGCTGAGAAACTTCTTTGTGATGTTTGCATTCAACTCACAGAGTTGAACCTTGCTTTCATAGTTCAGCTTTCAAACACTCTTTTTGTAGAATCTGCAAGTGGATATTTGGACCACTTTGTGGCCTTCCTTCGAAACGGGTATATCTTCACATCAAACCTAGACAGAAGCATTCTCAGAATGTTTCCTGTGATGACTGCATTCAACTCACAGAGGTGAACAATCCTGCTGATGGAGCAGTTTTGAAACTCTCTTTCTTTGGATTCTGCAAGTGGATATGTGGACCTCTGTGAAGATTTCGTTGGAAACGGGTTCATCTTCACAGAAAAACTAAACAGAAGCATTCTCAGAAACTGCTTTGTGATGTTTGTGTTCCACTTCAAGAATTGAACTTTCCTCTTGACAGAGCAGCTCTGAAACCCTCTTTTTCTAGAATCTGCAAGTGGACATTTGGAGGGCTTTGAGGCCTGTGGTGGAAAAGGAAAATCTTCCCATAAAAACTAGATGGAAGCATTCTCAGAAATTACTTTGTGATGATTGCATTCGACTCACAGAGTTGAACATTCCTATAGATAGAGCAGGTTGTAAACAATCTTTTTGTAGAATCTGCGATTGGAGATTTGGACTGCTTTGAGGCCTACTGTAGTAAAGGAAATAACTTCATCTAAAAACCAAACGGGAAGCATTCACAGACAATTCTTAGAGATCATTGGATTGAACTAACAGAGCTGAACATTCCTTTAGATGGCGCAGTTTCCAAACACACTTTCTGTAGAATCTGCAAGTGGATATTTGGACCTCTCTGAGGATTTCGTTGGAAAAGGGATAAACTTCCCAGAACTACACGGAAGCATTCTGAGAAACTTCTTTGTGATGTTTGCATTCAACTCACAGAGTTGAACTTTGCTTTCATAGTTCAGCTTTCAAACACTCTTTTTGTAGAATCTGCAAGTACATATTTGGACCCCTTTGTGGCCTTCCTTCGAAACGGGTATATCTTCACATCAAACCTAGACAGAAGCATTCTCAGAATGTTTCCTGTGATGACTGCATTCAACTCACAGAGGTGAACAATCCTGCTGATGGAGCAGTTTTGAAACTCTCTTTCTTTGGATTCTGCAAGTGGATATGTGGACCTCTGTGAAGATTTCGTTGGAAACGGGTTCATCTTCACAGAAAAACTAAACAGGAGCATTCTCAGAAACTACTTTGTGATGTTTGTGTTCCACTTCAAGAATTGAACTTTCCTCTTGACAGAGCAGCTCTGAAACCCTCTTTTTCTAGAATCTGCAAGTGGACATTTGGAGGGCTTTGAGGCCTGTGGTGGAAAAGGAAAATCTTCACATAAAAACTAGATGGAAGCATTCTCAGAAACTACTTTGTGATGATTGCATTCGACTCACAGAGTTGAACATTCCTATAGATAGAGCAGGTTGTAAACAATCTTTTTTTAGCATCTGCGATTGGAGATTTGGACTGCTTTGAGGCCTACTGTAGTAAAGGAAATAACTTCATCTAAAAACCAAACGGAAGCATTCACACACAATTCTTAGTGATCATTGGATTGAACTAACAGAGCTGAACATTCCTTTAGATGGAGCAGTTTCCAAACACACTTTCTGTAGAATCTGCAAGTGGATATTTGGACTTCTCTGAGGATTTCGTTGGAAACGGGATAAACTTCCCAGAACTACACGGAAGCATTGTGAGAAACTTCTTTGTGATATTTGCATTCAACTCACAGAGTTGAACCTTGCTTTCATAGTTCAGCTTTCAAACACTCTTTTTGTAGAATCTGCAAGTGGATATTTGGACCACTTTGTGGCCTTCCTTCGAAACGGGTATATCTTCACATCAAACCTAGACAGAAGCATTCTCAGAATGTTTCCTGTGATGACTGCATTCAACTCACAGAGGTGAACAATCCTGTTGATGGAGTAGTTTTGAAACTCTCTTTCTTTGGATTCTGCAAGTTGATATGTGGACCTCTGTGAAGATTTCGTTGGAAACGGGTTCATCTTCACAGAAAAACTAAACAGGAGCATTCTCAGAAACTGCTTTGTGATGTTTGTGTTCCACTTCAAGAATTGAACTTTCCCCTTGACAGAGCAGCTCTGAAACCCTCTTTTTCTAGAATCTGCAAGTGGACATTTGGAGGGCTTTGAGGCCTGTGGTGGAAAAGGAAAATCTTCCCATAAAAACTAGATGGAAGCATTCTCAGAAACTACTTTGTGATGATTGCATTCGACTCACAGAGTTGAACATTCCTATACATAGAGCAGGTTGTAAACAATCTTTTTGTAGAATCTGCGATTGGAGATTTGGACTGCTTTGAGGCCTACTGTAGTAAAGGAAATAACTTCATCTAAAAACCAAACGGAAGCATTCACAGAAAATTCTTAGTGATCATTGGATTGAACTAACAGAGCTGAACATTCCTTTAGATGGAGCAGTTTCCAAACACACTTTCTGTAGAATCTGCAAGTGGATATTTGGACCTCTCTGAGGATTTCTTTGGAAACGGGATAAACTTCCCAGAACTACACGGAAGCATTCTGAGAAACTTCTTTGTGATGTTTGCATTCAACTCACAGAGTTGAACCTTGCTTTCACAGTTCAGCTTTCAAACACTCTTTTTGTAGAATCTGCAAGTGGATATTTGGACCACTTTGTGGCCTTCCTTCGAAACGGGTATATCTTCACATCAAACCTAGACAGAAGCATTCTCAGAATGTTTCCTGTGATGACTGCATTCAACTCACATAGGTGAACAATCCTGCTGATGGAGCAGTTTTGAAACTCTCTTTCTTTGGATTCTGCAAGTGGATATGTGGACCTCTGTGAAGATTTCGTTGGAAACGGGTTCATCTTCACAGAAAAACTAAACAGGAGCATTCTCAGAAACTGCTTTGTGATGTTTGTGTTCCACTTCAAGAATTGAACTTTCCTCTTGACAGAGCAGCTCTGAAACCCTCTTTTTCTAGAATCTGCAAGTGGACATTTGGAGGGCTTTGAGGCCTGTGGTGGAAAAGGAAAATCTTCACATAAAAACTAGATGGAAGCATTCTCAGAAACTACTTTGTGATGATTGCATTCGACTCACAGAGTTGAACATTCCTATAGATAGAGCAGGTTGTAAACAATCTTTTTGTAGAATCTGCGATTGGAGATTTGGACTGCTTTGAGGCCTACTGTAGTAAAGGCAATAACTTCATCTAAAAACCAAACGGAAGCATTCACAGACAATTCTTAGTGATCATTGCATTGAACTAACAGAGATGAACATTCCTTTAGATGGCGCAGTTTCCAAACACACTTTCTGTAGAATCTGCAAGTGGATATTTGGACCTCTCTGAGGATTTCGTTGGAAACGGGATAAACTTCCCAGAACTACACGGAAGCATTCTGAGAAACTTCTTTGTGATGTTTGCATTCAACTCACAGAGTTGAACCTTGCTTTCATAGTTCAGCTTTCAAACACTCTTTTTGTAGAATCTGCAAGTGGATATTTGGACCACTTTGTGGCCTTCCTTCGAAACGGGTATATCTTCACATCAAACCTAGACAGAAGCATTCTCAGAATGTTTCCTGTGATGACTGCATTCAACTCACAGAGGTGAACAATCCTGCTGATGGAGCAGTTTTGGAACTCTCTTTCTTTGGATTCTGCAAGTGGATATGTGGACCTCCTGTGAAGATTTCGTTGGAAACGGGTTCATCTTCACAGGAAAACTAAACAGGAGAATTCTCAGAAACTGCTTTGTGATGTTTGCGTTCCACTTCAGGAATTGAACTTTCCTCTTGACAGAGTAGCTCTGAAACCCTCTTTTTCTAGAATCTGCAAGTGGACATTTGGAGGGCTTTGAGGCCTGTGGTGGAAAAGGAAAATCTTCACATAAAAACTAGATGGAAGCATTCTCAGAAACTACTTTGTGATGATTGCATTCGACTCACAGAGTTGAACATTCCTATAGATAGAGCAGGTTGTAAACAATCTTTTTGTAGAATCTGCGATTGGAGATTTGGACTGCTTTGAGGCCTACTGTAGTAAAGGAAATAACTTCATCTAAAAACCAAACGGAAGCATTCACAGAAAATTCTTAGTGATCATTGGATTGAACTAACAGAGCTGAACATTCCTTTAGATGGCACAGTTTCCAAACACACTTTCTGTAGAATCTGCAAGTGGATATTTGGACCTCTCTGAGGATTTCGTTGGAAAAGGGCTAAACTTCCCAGAACTACACGGAAGCATGCTGAGAAACTTCTTTGTGATGTTTGCATTCAACTCACAGAGTTGAACCTTGCTTTCATAGTTCAGCTTTCAAACACTCTTTTTGTAGAATCTGCAAGTGGATATTTGGACCACTTTGTGGCCTTTCTTCGAAACGGGTATATCTTCACATCAAACCTAGACAGAAGCATTCTCAGAATGTTTCCTGTGATGACTGCATTCAACTCACAGAGGTGAACAATCCTGTTGATGGAGCAGTTTTGAAACTCTCTTTCTTTGGATTCTGCAAGTTGATATGTGGACCTCTGTGAAGATTTCGTTGGAAACGGGTTCATCTTCACAGAAAAACTAAACAGAAGCATTCTCAGAAACTGCTTTGTGATGTTTGTGTTCCACTTCAATAATTGAAATTTCCTCTTGACAGAGCAGCTCTGAAACCCTCTTTTTCTAGAATCTGCAAGTGGACATTTGGAGGGCTTTGAGGCCTGTGGTGGAAAAGGAAAATCTTCACATAAAAACTGGATGGAAGCATTCTCAGAAACTACTTTGTGATGATTGCATTCGACTCACAGAGTTGAACATTCCTATAGATAGAGCAGGTTGTAAACAATCTTTTTGTAGAATCTGCGATTGGAGATTTGGACTGCTTTGAGGCCTACTGTAGTAAAGGAAATAACTTCATCTAAAAACCAAACGGAAGCATTCACAGACAATTCTTAGTGATCATTGGATTGATCTAACAGAGCTGAACATTCCTTTAGATGGAGCAGTTTCCAAACCCACTTTCTGTAGAATCTGCAAGTGGATATTTGGACTTCTCGGAGGATTTCGTTGGAAACGGGATATACTTCCCAGAACTACACGGAAGCATTGTGAGAAACTTCTTTGTGATGTTTGCATTCAACTCACAGAGTTGAAACTTGCTTTCATAGTTCAGCTTTCAAACACTCTTTTTGTAGAATCTGCAAGTGGATATTTGGACCACTTTGTGGCCTTCCTTCGAAACGGGTATATCTTCACATCAAACCTAGACAGAAGCATTCTCAGAATGTTTCCTGTGATGACTGCATTCAACTCACAGAGGTGAACAATCCTGTTGATGGAGCAGTTTTGAAACTCTCTTTCTTTGGATTCTGCAAGTTGATATGTGGACCTCTGTGAAGATTTCGTTGGAAACGGGTTCATCTTCACAGAAAAACTAAACAGAAGCATTCTCAGAAACTGCTTTGTGATGTTTGTGTTCCACTTCAAGAATTGAACTTTCCTCTTGACAGAGCAGCTCTGAAACCCTCTTTTTCTAGAATCTGCAAGTGGACATTTGGAGGGCTTTGAGGCCTGTGGTGGAAAAGGAAAATCTTCACATAAAAACTAGATGGAAGCATACTCAGAAACTACTTTGTGATGACTGCATTCGACTCACAGGGTTGAACATTCCTATAGATAGAGCAGGATGTAAACAATCTTTTTGTAGAATATGCGATTGGAGATTTGGACTGCTTTGAGGCCTACTGTAGTAAAGGAAATAACTTCATCTAAAAACCAAACGGAAGCATTCACAGACAATTCTTAGTGATCATTGCATTGAACTAACAGAGCTGAACATTCCTTTAGATGGAGCAGTTTCCAAACCCACTTTCTGTAGAATCTGCAAGTGGATATTTGGACTTCTCTGAGGATTTCGTTGGAAACGGGATAAACTTCACAGAACTACACGGAAGCATTCTCAGAAACTACTTTGTGATGATTGCATTCGACTCACAGAGTTGAACATTCCTATAGATAGAGCAGGTTGTAAACAATCTTTTTGTAGAATCTGCGATCATGGAGATTTGGACTGCTTTGAGGCCTACTGTAGTAAAGCAAATAACTTCATCTAAAAACCAAACGGAAGCATCCACAGACAATTCTTAGAGATCATTGGATTGAACTAACAGAGCTGAACATTCCTTTAGATGGAGCAGTTTCCAAACCCACATTCTGTAGAATCTGCAAGTGGATATTTGGACTTCTCTGAGGATTTCGTTGGAAACGGGTTCATCTTCACAGAAAAACTAAACAGAAGCATTCTCAGAAACTGCTTTGTGATGTTTGTGTTCCACTTCAAGAATTGAACTTTCCTCTTGACAGAGCAGCTCTGAAACCCTCTTTTTCTAGAATCTGCAAGTGGACATTTGGAGGGCTTTGAGGCCTGTGGTGGAAAAGGAAAATCTTCACATAAAAACTAGATGGAAGCATTCTCAGAAACTGCTTTGTGATGATTGCATTCGACTCACAGAGTTGAACATTCCTATAGATAGAGCAGGTTGTAAACAATCTTTTTGTAGAATCTGCGATTGGAGATTTGGACTGCTTTGAGGCCTACTGTAGTAAAGGAAATAACTTCATCTAAAAACCAAACGGAAGCATTCACAGACAATTCTTAGTGATCATTGCATTGATCTAACAGAGCTGAACATTCCTTTAGATGGCGTAGTTTCCAAACACACTTTCTGTAGAATCTGCAAGTGGATATTTGGACCTCTCTGAGGAATTCGTTGGAAACGGGATAAACTTCCCAGAACTACACGGAAAGCATTCTGAGAAACTTCTTTGTGATGTTTGCATTCAACTCACAGAGGTGAACCTTGCTTTCATAGTTCAGCTTTCAAACACTCTTTTTGTAGAATCTGCAAGTGGATATTTGGACCACTTTGTGGCCTTCCTTCGAAACGGGTATATCTTCACATCAAACCTAGACAGAAGCATTCTCAGAATGTTTCCTGTGATGACTGCATTCAACTCACAGAGGTGAACAATCCTGCTGATGGAGCAGTTTTGAAACTCTCTTTCTTTGGATTCTGCAAGTGGATATGTGGACCTCTGTGAAGATTTCGTTGGAAACGGGTTCATCTTCACAGAAAAACTAAACAGAAGCATTCTCAGAAACTACTTTGTGATGTTTGTGTTCCACTTCAAGAATTGAACTTTCCTCTTGACAGAGCAGCTCTGAAACCCTCTTTTTCTAGAATCTGCAAGTGGACATTTGGAGGGCTTTGAGGCCTGTGGTGGAAAAGGAAAATCTTCACATAAAAACTAGATGGAAGCATTCTCAGAAACTACTTTGTGATGATTGCATTCGACTCACAGAGTTGAACATTCCTATAGATAGAGCAGGTTGTAAACAATCTTTTTGTAGAATCTGCGATTGGAGATTTGGACTGCTTTGAGGCCTACTGTAGTAAAGGAAATAACTTCATCTGAAAACCAAACGGAAGCATTCACAGACAATTCTTAGTGATCATTGCATTGAACTAACAGAGCTGAACATTCCTTTAGATGGCGCAGTTTCCAAACACACTTTCTGTAGCATCTGCAAGTGGATATTTGGACCTCTCTGAGGATTTCGTTGGAAACGGGATAAACTTCCCAGAACTACACGGAAGCATTCTGAGAAACTTCTTTGTGATGTTTGCATTCAACTCACAGAGTTGAACCTTGCTTTCATAGTTCAGCTTTCAAACACTCTTTTTGTAGAATCTGCAAGTGGATATTTGGACCACTTTCTGGCCTTCCTTCGAAACGGGTATATCTTCACATCAAACCTAGACAGAAGCATTCTCAGAATGTTTCCTGTGATGACTGCATTCAACTCACAGAGGTGAACAATCCTGCTGATGGAGCAGTTTTGAAACTCTCTTTCTTTGGATTCTGCAAGTGGATATGTGGACCTCTGTGAAGATTTCCTTGGAAACGGGTTCATCTTCACAGAAAAATT
The DNA here is from genome assembly GCF_000001405.40 of Homo sapiens. NCBI lineage: Eukaryota > Metazoa > Chordata > Mammalia > Primates > Hominidae > Homo > Homo sapiens. Next base: position 53,778,171 of record NC_000011.10, read on the forward strand.
AAACAGGAGCATTCTCAGAAACTGCTTTGTGATGTTTGTGTTCCACTTCAAGAATTGCACTTTCCTCTTGACAGAGCAGCTCTGAAACCCTCTTTTTCCAGAATCTGCAAGTGGACATTTGGAGGGCTTTGAGGCCTGTGGTGGAAAAGGAAAATCTTCACATAAGAACTAGATGGAATCATTCTCAGAAACTACTTTGTGATGATTGCATTCGACTCAAAGAGTTGAACATTCCTATAGATAGAGCAGGTTGTAAACCATCTTTTTGTAGAATATGCGATTGGAGATTTGGACTGCTTTGAGGCCTACTGTAGTAAAGGAAATAACTTCATCTAAAAACCAAACGGAAGCATTCACAGACAATTCTTAGTGATCATTGGATTGAAGTAACAGAGCTGAACATTCCTTTAGATGGCGCAGTTTCCAAACACACTTTCTGTAGAATCTGCAAGTGGATATTTGGACCTCTCTGAGGATTTCGTTGGAAACGGGATAAACTTCCCAGAACTACACGGAAGCATTCAGAGAAACTTCTTTGTGATGTTTGCATTCAACTCACAGAGTTGAACCTTGCTTTCATAGTTCAGCTTTCAAACACTCTTTTTGTAGAATCTGCAATTGGATATTTGGACCACTTTGTGGCCTTCCTTCGAAACGGGTATATCTTCACATCAAACCTAGACAGAAGCATTCTCAGAATGTTTCCTGTGATGACTGCATTCAACTCACAGAGGTGAACAATCCTGTTGATGGAGCAGTTTTGAAACTCTCTTTCTTTGGATTCTGCAAGTGGATATGTGGACCTCTGTGAAGATTTCGTTGGAAACGGGTTCATCTTCACAGAAAAACTAAACAGAAGCATTCTCAGAAACTGCTTTGTGATGTTTGTGTTCCACTTCAGGAATTGAACTTTCCTCTTGACAGAGCAGCTCTGAAACCCTCTTATTCTAGAATCTGCAAGTGGACATTTGGAGGGCTTTGAGGCCTGTGGTGGAAAAGGAGAATCTTCACATAAAAACTAGATGGAAGCATTCTCAGAAACTACTTTGTGATGATTGCATTCGACTCACAGAGTTGAACATTCCTATACATAGAGCAGGTTGTAAACAATCTTTTTGTAGAATCTGCGATTGGAGATTTGGACTGCTTTGAGGCCTACTGTAGTAAAGGAAATAACTTCATCTAAAAACCAAACGGAAGCATTCACAGACAATTCTTAGTGATCATTGGATTGAACTAACAGAGCTGAACATTCCTTTAGATGGAGCAGTTTCCAAACACACTTTCTGTAGAATCTGCAAGTGGATATTTGGACTTCTCTGAGGATTTCGTTGGAAACGGGATATACTTCCCAGAACTACACGGAAGCATTCTGAGAAACTTCTTTGTGATGTTTGCATTCAACTCACAGAGTTGAACCTTGCTTTCATAGTTCAGCTTTCAAACACTCTTTTTGTAGAATCTGCAAGTGGATATTTGGACCACTTTGTGGCCTTCCTTCGAAACGGGTATATCTTCACATCAAACCTAGACAGAAGCATTCTCAGAATGTTTCCTGTGATGACTGCATTCAACTCACAGAGGTGAACAATCCTGCTGATGGAGCAGTTTTGAAACTCTCTTTCTTTGGATTCTGCAGGTGGATATGTGGACCTCTGTGAAGATTTCGTTGGAAACGGGTTGATCTTCACAGAAAAACTAAACAGGAGCATTATCAGAAACTGCTTTGTGATGTTTGTGTTCCACTTCAGGAATTGTACTTTCCTATTGACAGAGCAGCTCTGAAACCCTCTTATTCTAGAATCTGCAAGTGGACATTTGGAGGGCTTTGAGGCCTGTGGTGGAAAAGGAAAATCTTCACATAAAAACTAGATGGAAGCATTCTCAGAAACTACTTTGTGATGATTGCATTCGACTCACAGAGTTGAACATTCCTATAGATAGAGCAGGTTGTAAACAATCTTTTTGTAGAATCTGCGATTGGAGATTTGGACTGCTTTGAGGCCTACTGTAGTAAACGAAATAACTTCATCTAAAAACCAAACGGAAGCATTCACAGACAATTCTTAGTGATCATTGGATTGAACTAACAGAGCTGAACATTCCTTTAGATGGAGCAGTTTCCAAACACACTTTCTGTAGAATCTGCAAGTGGATATTTGGACCTCTCTGAGGATTTCGTTGGAAACGGGATAAACTTCCCAGAACTACACGGAAGCATTCTGAGAAAATTCTTTGTGTTGTTTGCATTCAACTCACAGAGTTGAACCTTGCTTTCATAGTTCAGCTTTCAAACACTCTTTTTGTAGAATATGCAAGTGGATATTTGGACCACTTTGGGGCCTTCCTTCGAAACGGGTATATCTTCACATCAAACCTAGACAGAAGCATTCTGAGAATGTTTCCTGTGATGACTGCATTCAACTCACAGAGGTGAACAATCCTGCTGATGGAGCAGTTTTGAAACTCTCTTTCTTTGGATTCTGCAAGTGGATATGTGGACCTCTGTGAAGATTTCGTTGGAAACCGGTTCATCTTCACAGAAAAACTAAACAGGAGCATTCTCAGAAACTGCTTTGTGATGTTTGTGTTCCACTTCAAGAATTGAACTTTCCTCTTGACAGAGCAGCTCTGAAACCCTGTTTTCCTAGAATCTGCAAGTGGACATTTGGAGGGCTTTGAGGCCTGTGGTGGAAAAGGAAAATCTTCACATAAAAACTAGATGGAAGCATTCTCAGAAACTACTTTGTGATGATTGCATTCGACTCACAGAGTTGAACATTCCTATAGATAGAGCAGGTTGTAAACAATCTTTTTGTAGAATCTGCGATTGGAAATTTGGACTGCTTTGAGGCCTACTGTAGTAAAGGAAATAACTTCATCTAAAAACCAAACGGAAGCATTCACAGACAATTCTTAGTGATCATTGCATTGAACTAACAGAGCTGAACATTCCTTTAGATGGCGCAGTTTCCAAACACACTTTCTGTAGAATCTGCAAGTGGATATTTGGACTTCTCTGAGGATTTCGTTGGAAACGGGATAAACTTCCCAGAACTACAGGGAAGCATTCTGAGAAACTTCTTTGTGATGTTTGCATTCAACTCACAGAGTTGAAGCTAGCTTTCATAGTTCAGCTTTCAAACACTCTTTTTGTAGAATCTGCAAGTGGATATTTGGACCACTTTGTGGCCTTCCTTCGAAACGGGTATATCTTCACATCAAACCTAGACAGAAGCATTCTCAGAATGTTTCCTGTGATGACTGCATTCAACTCACAGAGGTGAACAATCCTGTTGATGGAGCACTTTTGAAACTCTCTTTCTTTGGATTCTGCTAGTTGATATGTGGACCTCTGTGAAGATTTCGTTGGAAACGGGTTCATCTTCACAGAAAAACTAAACAGAAGCATTCTCAGAAACTGCTTTGTGATGTTTGTATTCCACTTCAAGAATTAAACTTTCCTCTTGACAGAGCAGCTCTGAAACCCTCTTTTTCTAGAATCTGCAAGTGGACATTTGGAGGGCTTTGAGGCCTGTGGTGGAAAAGGAAAATCTTCACATAAAAACTAGATGGAAGCATTCTCAGAAACTACTTTGTGATGATTGCATTCGACTCACAGAGTTGAACATTCCTATAGATAGAGCAGGTTGTAAACAATCTTTTTGTAGAATCTGCGATTGGAGATTTGGACTGCTTTGAGGCCTACTGTAGTAAAGGAAATAACTTCATCTAAAAACCAAACGGAAGCATTCACAGACAATTCTTAGTGATCATTGGATTGAACTAACAGCAGCTGAACATTCCTTTAGATGGCGCAGTTTCCAAACACACTTTCTGTAGAATCTGCAAGTGGATATTTGGACCTCTCTGAGGATTTCGTTGGAAACGGGATAAACTTCCCAGAACTACACGGAAGCATTGTGAGAAACTTCTTTGTGATGTTTGCATTCAACTCACAGAGTTGAACCTTGCTTTCATAGTTCAGCTTTCAAACACTCTTTTTGTGGAATCTGCAAGTGGATATTTGGACCACTTTGTGGCCTTCCTTCGAAACGGGTATATCTTCACATCAAACCTAGACAGAAGCATTCTCAGAATGTTTCCTGTGATGACTGCATTCAACTCACAGAGGTGAACAATCCTGCTGATGGAGCAGTCTTGAAACTCTCTTTCTTTGGATTCTGCAAGTGGATATGTGGACCTCTGTGAAGATTTCGTTGGAAACGGGTTCATCTTCACAGAAAAACTAAACAGGAGCATTCTCAGAAACAGCTTTGTGATGTTTGTGTTCCACTTCAAGAATTGAACTTTCCTCTTGACAGAGCAGCTCTGAAACCCTCTTTTTCTAGAATCTGCAAGTGGACATTTGGAGGGCTTTGAGGCCTGTGGTGGAAAAGGAAAATCTTCACATAAAAACTAGATGGAAGCATTCTCAGAAACTACTTTGTGATGATTGCATTCGACTCACAGAGTTGAACATTCCTATAGATAGAGCACGTTGTAAACAATCTTTTTGTAGAATCTGCGATTGGAGATTTGGACTGCTTTGAGGCCTACTGTAGTAAAGGAAATAACTTCATCTAAAAACCAAACGGAAGCATTCACAGACAATTCTTAGTGATCATTGGATTGAACTAACAGAGCTGAACATTCCTTTAGATGGCGCAGTTTCCAAACACACTTTCTGTAGAATCTGCCACTGGATATTTGGACCTCTCTGAGGATTTCGTTGGAAACGGGCTAAACTTCCCAGAACTACACGGAAGCATTGTGAGAAACTTCTTTGTGATGTTTGCATTCAACTCACAGAGTTGAACCTTGCTTTCATAGTTCAGCTTTCAAACACTCTTTTTGTAGAATCTGCAAGTGGATATTTGGACCACTTTGTGGCCTTCCTTCGAAACGGGTATATCTTCACATCAAACCTAGACAGAAGCATTCTCAGAATGTTTTCCTGTGATGACTGCATTCAACTCACAGAGGTGAACAATCCTGCTGATGGAGCAGTTTTGAAACTCTCTTTCTTTGGATTCTGCAAGTGGATATGTGGACCTCTTTGAAGATTTCGTTGGAGACGGGTTCATCTTCACAGAAAAACTAAACAGGAGCATTCTCAGAAACTGCTTTGTGATGTTTGTGTTCCACTTCAGGAATTGAACTTTCCTCTTGACAGAGCAGCTCTGAAACCCTCTTATTCTAGAATCTGCAAGTGGACATTTGGAGGGCTTTGAGGCCTGTGGTGGAAAAGGAAAATCTTCACATAAAAACTAGATGGAAGCATTCTCAGAAACTACTTTGTGATGATTGCATTTGACTCACAGAGTTGAACATTCCTATAGATAGAGCAGGTTGTAAACAATCGTTTTCTAGAATCTGCGATTGGAGATTTGGACTGCTTTGAGGCCTACTGTAGTAAAGGAAATAACTGCATCTAAAAACCAAACGGAAGCATTCACAGACAATTCTTAGTGATCATTGGATTGAACTAACAGAGCTGAACATTCCTTTAGATGGAGCAGTTTCCAAACACACTTTCTGTAGAATCTGCAAGTGGATATTTGGACTTCTCTGAGGATTTCGTTGGAAACGGGATAAACTTCCCAGAACTACACGGAAGCATTCTGAGAAACTTCTTTGTGATGTTTGCATTCAACTCACAGAGTTGAACCTTGCTTTCATAGTACAGCTTTCAAACACTCTTTTTGTAGATTCGGCAAGTGGATATTTGGACCACTTTGTGGCCTTCCTTCGAAACGGGTATATCTTCACATCAAACCTAGACAGAAGCATTCTCAGAATGTTTCCTGTGATGACTGCATTCAACTCACAGAGGTGAACAATCCTGTTGATGGAGCAGTTTTGAAACTCTCTTTCTTTGGATTCTGCAAGTGGATATGTGGACCTCTGTGAAGATTTCGTTGGAAACGGGTTCATCTTCACAGAAAAACTAAACAGGAGCATTCTCAGAAACTGCTTTGTGATGTTTGTGTTCCACTTCAGGAATTGAACTTTCCTCTTGACAGAGCAGCTCTGAAACCCTCTTATTCTAGAATCTGCAAGTGGACATTTGGAGGGCTTTGAGGCCTGTGGTGGAAAAGGAAAATCTTCACATAAAAACTAGATGGAAGCATTCTCAGAAACTACTTTGTGATGATTGCATTCGACTCACAGAGTTGAACATTCCTATAGATAGAGCAGGTTGTAAACAATCTTTTTGTAGAATCTGCGATTGGAGATTTGGACTGCTTTGAGGCCTACTGTAGTAAAGGAAATAACTTCATCTAAAAACCAAACGGAAGCATTCACAGACAATTCTTAGTGATCATTGGATTGAACTAACAGAGCTGAACATTCCTTTAGATGGAGCAGTTTCCAAACACAATTTCTGTAGAATCTGCAAGTGGATATTTGGACTTCTCTGAGGATTTCGTTGGAAACGGGATAAACTTCCCAGAACTACACGGAAGCATTCTGAGAAACTTCTTTGTGATGTTTGCATTCAACTCACAGAGTTGAACCTTGATTTCATAGTTCAGCTTTCAAACCCTCTTTTTGTAGAATCTGCAAGTGGATATTTGGACCACTTTGTGGCCTTCCTTCGAAACGGGTATATCTTCACATCAAACCTAGACAGAAGCATTCTCAGAATGTTTCCTGTGATGACTGCATTCAACTCACAGAGGTGAACAATCCTGCTGATGGAGCAGTTTTGAAACTCTCTTTCTTTGGATTCTGCAAGTGGATATGTGGACCTCTGTGAAGATTTCGTTGGAAACGTGTTCATCTTCACAGAAAAACTAAACAGGAGCATTCTCAGAAACTGCTTTGTGATGTTTGTGTTCCACTTCAGGAATTGAACTTTCCTCTTGACAGAGCAGCTCTAAAACCCTCTTATTCTAGAATCTGCAAGTGGACATTTGGAGGGCTTTGAGGCCTGTGGTGGAAAAGGAAAATCTTCACATAAAAACTAGATGGAAGCATTCTCAGAAACTACTTTGTGATGATTGCATTCGACTCACAGAGTTGAACATTCCTATAGATAGAGCAGGTTGTAAACAATCTTTTTGTAGAATCTGCGATTGGAGATTTGGACTGCTTTGAGGCCTACTGTAGTAAAGGAAATAACTTCATCTAAAAACCAAACGGAAGCATTCACAGACAATTCTTAGTGATCATTGGATTGAACTAACAGAGCTGAACATTCCTTTAGATGGAGCAGTTTCCAAACACACTTTCTGTAGAATCTGCAAGTGGATATTTGGACCTCTCTGAGGATTTCGTTGGAAACGGGATAAACTTCCCAGAACTACACGGAAGCATTGTGAGAAACTTCTTTGTGATGTTTGCATTCAACTCACAGAGTTGAACCTTGCTTTCATAGTTCAGCTTTCAAACACTCTTTTTGTAGAATCTGCAAGTGGATATTTGGACCACTTTGTGGCCTTCCTTTGAAACGGGTATATCTTCACATCAAACCTAGACAGAAGCATTCTCAGGATGTTTTCTGTGATGACTGCATTCAACTCACAGAGGTGAACAATCCTGCTGATGGAGCAGTTTTGAAACTCTCTTTCTTTGGATTCTGCAAGTTGATATGCGGACCTCTGTGAAGATTTCGTTGGAAACGGGTTCATCTTCACAGAAAAACTAAACAGAAGCATTCTCAGAAACTACTTTGTGATGTTTGTGTTCCACTTCAAGAATTGAACTTTCCTCTTGACAGAGCAGCTCTGAAACCCTCTTTTTCTAGAATCTGCAAGTGGACATTTGGAGGGCTTTGAGGCCTGTGGTGGAAAAGGAAAATCTTCACATAAAAACTAGATGGAAGCATTCTCAGAAACTACTTTGTGATGATTGCATTCGACTCACAGAGTTGAACATTCCTATAGATAGAGCAGGTTGTAAACAATCTTTTTGTAGAATCTGCGATTGGAGATTTGGACTGCTTTGAGGCCTACTGTAGTAAAGGAAATAACTTCATCTAAAAACCAAACGGAAGCATTCACAGACAATTCTTAGTGATCAATGGATTGAACTAACACAGCTGAACATTCCTTTAGATGGAGCAGTTTCCAAACACACTTTCTGTAGAATCTGCAAGTGGATATTTGGACTTCTCTGAGGATTTCGTTGGAAACGGGATAAACTTCCCAGAACTACACGGAAAGCATTGTGAGAAACTTCTTTGTGATGTTTGCATTCAACTCACAGACTTGAACCTTGTTTTCATAGTTCAGCTTTAAAACACTCTTTTTGTAGAATCTGCAAGTGCATATTTGGACCACTTTGTGGCCTTCCTTCGAAACGGGTATATCTTCACATCAAACCTAGACAGAAGCATTCTCAGAATGTTTCCTGTGATGACTGCATTCAACTCACAGAGGTGAACAATCCTGTTGATGGAGCACTTTTGTAACTCTCTTTCTTTGGATTCTGCAAGTTGATATGTGGACCTCTGTGAAGATTTCGTTGGAAAGGGGTTCATCTTCACAGAAAAACTAAACAGAAGCATTCTCAGAAACTGCTTTGTGATGTTTGTGTTCCACTTCAAGAATTGCACTTTCCTCTTGACAGAGCAGCTCTGAAACCCTCTTTTTCCAGAATCTGCAAGTGGACATTTGGAGGGCTTTGAGGCCTGTGGTGGAAAAGGAAAATCTTCACATAAGAACTAGATGGAATCATTCTCAGAAACTACTTTGTGATGATTGCATTCGACTCAAAGAGTTGAACATTCCTATAGATAGAGCAGGTTGTAAACCATCTTTTTGTAGAATATGCGATTGGAGATTTGGACTGCTTTGAGGCCTACTGTAGTAAAGGAAATAACTTCATCTAAAAACCAAACGGAAGCATTCACAGACAATTCTTAGTGATCATTGGATTGAACTAACAGAGCTGAACATTCCTTTAGATGGAGGAGTTTCCAAACACACTTTCTGTAGAATCTGCAAGTGGATATTTGGACCTCTCTGAGGATTTCGTTGGAAACGGGATAAAGTTCCCAGAACTACACGGAAGCATTGTGAGAAACTTCTTTGTGATGTTTGCATTCAACTCACAGAGTTGAACCTTGCTTTCATAGTTCAGCTTTCAAACACTCTTTTTGTAGAATCTGCAAGTGGATATTTGGACCACTTTGTGGCCTTCCTTCGAAACGGGTATATCTTCACATCAAACCTAGACAGAAGCATTCTCAGAATGTTTCCTGTGATGACTGCATTCAACTCACAGAGGTGAACAATCCTGCTGATGGAGCAGTTTTGAAACTCTCTTTCTTTGGATTCTGCAAGTGGATATGTGGACCTCTGTGAAGATTTCGTTGGAAACGGGTTCATCTTCACAGAAAAACTAAACAGGAGCATTCTCAGAAACTACTTTGTGATGTTTGTGTTCCACTTCAAGAATTGAACTTTCCTCTTGACAGAGCAGCTCTGAAACCCTCTTTTTCTAGAATCTGCAAGTGGACATTTGGAGGGCTTTGAGGCCTGTGGTGGAAAAGGGAAATCTTCACATAAAAACTTTATGGAAGCATTCTCAGAAACTACTTTGTGATGATTGCATTCGACTCACAGAGTTGAACATTCCTATAGATAGAGCAGGTTGTAAACAATCTTTTTGTAGAATCTGCGATTGGAGATTTGGACTGCTTTGAGGCCTACTGTAGTGAAGGAAATAACTTCATCTAAAAACCAAACGGAAGCATTCACAGACAATTCTTAGTGATCATTGCATTGAACTAACAGAGCTGAACATTCCTTTAGATGGCGCAGTTTCCAAACACACTTTCTGTAGAATCTGCAAGTGGATATTTGGACTTCTCTGAGGATTTCGTTGGAAAAGGGATAAAATTCCCAGAACTACACGGAAGCATTCTGAGAAACTTCTTTGTGATGTTTGCATTCAACTCACAGAGTTGAACCTTGCTTTCATAGTTCAGCTTTCAAACACTCTTTTTGTAGAATCTGCAAGTGGATATTTGGACCACTTTGTGGCCTTCCTTCGAAACGGGTATATCTTCACATCAAACCTAGACAGAAGCATTCTCAGAATGTTTCCTGTGATGACTGCATTCAACTCAGAGAGGTGAACAATCCTGCTGATGGAGCAGTTTTGAAACTCTCTTTCTTTGGATTCTGCAAGTGGATATGTGGACCTCTGTGAAGATTTCGTTGGAAAGGGGTTCATCTTCACAGAAAAACTAAACAGGAGCATTCTCAGAAACTGCTTTGTGATGTTTGTGTTCCACTTCAAGAATTGAACTTTCCTCTTGACAGAGCAGCTCTGAAACCCTCTTTTTCTAGAATCTGCAAGTGGACATTTGGAGGGCTTTGAGGCCTGTGGTGGAAAAGGAAAATCTTCACATAAAAACTAGATGGAAGCATTCTCAGAAACTACTTTGTGATGATTGCATTCGACTCACAGAGTTGAACATTCCTATAGATAGAGCAGGTTGTAAACAATCTTTTTGTAGAATCTGCGATTGGAGATTTGGACTGCTTTGAGGCCTACTGTAGTAAAGGAAATAACTTCATCTAAAAACCAAACGGAAGCATTTACAGACAATTCTTAGTGATCATTGGATTGAACTAACAGAGCTGAACATTCCTTTAGATGGAGCAGTTTCCAAACCCACTTTCTGTAGAATCTGCAAGTGGATATTTGGACTTCTCTGAGGATTTCGTTGGAAACGGGATAAACTTCCCAGAACTACAGGGAAGTATTCTGAGAAACTTCTTTGTGATGTTTGCATTCAACTCACAGAGTTGAATCTTGCTTTCATAGTTCAGCTTTCAAACACTCTTTTTGTAGAATCTGCAAGTGGATATTTGGACCACTTTGTGGCCTTCCTTCGAAACGGGTATGTCTTCACATCAAACCTAGACAGAAGCATTCTCAGAATGTTTCCTGTGATGACTGCATTCAACTCACAGAGGTGAACAATCCTGCTGATGGAGCAGTTTTGAAACTCTCTTTCTTTGGATTCTGCAAGTGGATATGTGAACCTCTTTGAAGATTTCGTTGGAAACGGGTTCATCTTCACAGAAAAACTAAACAGGAACATTCTCAGAAACTGCTTTGTGATGTTTGTGTTCCACTTCAGGAATTGAACTTTCCTCTTGACAGAGCAGCTCTGAAACCCTCTTATTCTACAATCTGCAAGTGGACATTTGGAGGGCTGTGAGGCCTGTGGTGGAAAAGGAAAATCTTCACATAAAAACTAGATGGAAGCATTCTCAGAAACTACTTTGTGATGATTGCATTCGACTCACAGAGTTGAACATTCCTATAGATAGAGCAGGTTGTAAACAATCTTTTTGTAGAATCTGCGATTGGAGATTTGGACTGCTTTGAGGCCTACTGTAGTAAAGGAAATAACTTCATCTAAAAACCAAACGGAAGCATTCACAGACAATTCTTAGTGATCATTGCATTGAACTAACAGAGCTGAACATTCCTTTAGATGGAGCACTTTCCAAACACACTTTCTGTAGAATCTGCAAGTGGATATTTGGACCTCTCTGAGGATTTCGTTGGAAACGGGATAAACTTCCCAGAACTACACGGAAGCATTGTGAGAAACTTCTTTGTGATGTTTGCATTCAACTCACAGAGTTGAACCTTGCTTTCATAGTTCAGCTTTCAAACACTCTTTTTATAGAATCTGCAAGTGGATATTTGGACCACTTTGTGGCCTTCCTTCGAAACGGGTATATCTTCACATCAAACCTAGACAGAAGCATTCTCAGAATGTTTCCTGTGATGACTGCATTCAACTCACAGAGGTGAACAATCCTGCTGATGGAGCAGTTTTGAAACTCTCTTTCTTTGGATTCTGCAGGTGGATATGTGGACCTCTGTGAAGATTTCGTTGGAAACGGGTTCATCTTCACAGAAAAACTAAACAGGAGCATTCTCAGAAACTGCTTTGTGATGTTTGTGTTCCACTTCAAGAATTGAACTTTCCTCTTGACAGAGCAGCTCTGAAACCCTCTTTTTCTAGAATCTGCAAGTGGACATTTGGAGGGCTTTGAGGCCTGTGGTGGAAAAGGAAAATCTTCCCATAAAAACTAGATGGAAGCATTCTCAGAAACTACTTTGTGATGATTGCATTCGACTCACAGAGTTGAACATTCCTATAGATAGAGCAGGTTGTAAACAATGTTTTTGTAGAATCTGCGATTGGAGATTTGGACTGCTTTGAGGCCTACTGTAGTAAAGGAAATAACTTCATCTAAAAACCAAACGGAAGCATTCACAGACAATTCTTAGTGATCATTGGATTGAACTAACAGAGCTGAACATTCCTTTAGATGGAGCAGTTTCCAAACACACTTTCTGTAGAATCTGCAAGTGGATATTTGGACCTCTCTGAGGATTTCGTTGGAAACGGGATAAACTTCCTAGAACTACACGGAAGCATTGTGAGAAACTTCTTTGTGATGTTTGCATTCAACTCACAGAGTTGAACCTTGCTTTCATAGTTCAGCTTTCAAACACTCTTTTTGTAGAATCTGCAAGTGGATATTTGGACCACTTTGTGGCCTTCCTTCGAAACGGCTATATCTTCACATCAAACCTAGACAGAAGCATTCTCAGAATGTTTCCTGTGATGACTGCATTCAACTCACAGAGGTGAACAATCCTGCTGATGGAGCAGTTTTGAAACTCTCTTTCTTTGGATTCTGCAAGTGGATATGTGGACCTCTGTGAAGATTTCGTTGGAAACGGGTTCATCTTCACAGAAAAACTAAACAGGAGCATTCTCAGAAACTGCTTTGTGAATGTTTGTGTTCCACTTCAAGAATTGAACTTTCCTCTTGACAGAGCAGCTCTGAAACCCTCTTATTCTAGAATCTGCAAGTGGACATTTGGAGGGCTTTGAGGCCTGTGGTGGAAAAGGAAAATCTTCACATAAAAACTAGATGGAAGCATTCTCAGAAACTACTTTGTGATGATTGCATTCGACTCACAGAGTTGAACATTCCTATAGATAGAGCAGGTTGTAAACAATCTTTTTGTAGAATCTGCGATTGGAGATTTGGACTGCTTTGAGGCCTACTGTAGTAAAGGAAATAACTTCATCTAAAAACCAAACGGAAGCATTCACAGACAATTCTTAGTGATCATTGGATTGAACTAACAGAGCTGAACATTCCTTTAGATGGAGCAGTTTCCAAACACACTTTCTGTAGAATCTGCAAGTGGATATTTGGACTTCTCTGAGGATTTCGTTGGAAACGGGATAAACTTCCCAGAACTACACGGAAGCATTGTGAGAAACTTCTTTGTGATGTTTGCATTCAACTCACAGAGTTGAACCTTGCTTTCATAGTTCAGCTTTCAAACACTCTTTTTGTAGAATCTGCAAGTGGATATTTGGACCACTTTGTGGCCTTCCTTCGAAACGGGTATATCTTCACATCAAACCTAGACAGAAGCATTCTCAGAATGTTTCCTGTGATGACTGCATTCAACTCACAGAGGTGAACAATCCTGCTGATGGAGCAGTTTTGAAACTCTCTTTCTTTGGATTCTGCAAGTGGATATGTGGACCTCTGTGTAGATTTCGTTGGAAACGGGTTCATCTTCACAGAAAAACTAAACAGGAGCATTCTCAGAAACTGCTTTGTGATGTTTGTGTTCCACTTCAAGAATTGAACTTTCCTCTTGACAGAGCAGCTCTGAAACCCTCTTTTACTAGAGTCTGCAAGTGGACATTTGGAGGGCTTTGAGGCCTGTGGTGGAAAAGGAAAATCTTCACATAAAAACTAGATGGAAGCATTCTCAGAAACTACTTTGTGATGATTGCATTCGACTCACAGAGTTGAACATTCCTATAGATAGAGCAGGTTGTAAACAATCTTTTTGTAGAATCTGCGATTGGAGATTTGGACTGCTTTGAGGCCTACTGTAGTAAAGGAAATAACTTCATCTAAAAACCAAACGGAAGCATTCACAGACAATTCTTAGTGATCATTGGATTGAACTAACAGAGCTGAACATTCATTTAGATGGAGCAGTTTCCAAACACACTTTCTGTAGAATCTGCAAGTGGATATTTGGACTTCTCTGAGGATTTCGTTGGAAACGGGATAAACTTCCCAGAACTACACGGAAACATTCTGAGAAACTTCTTTGTGATGTTTGCATTCAACTCACAGAGTTGAACCTTGCTTTCATAGTTCAGCTTTCAAACACTCTTTTTGTAGAATCTGCAAGTGGATATTTGGACCACTTTGTGGCCTTCCTTCGAAACGGGTATATCTTCACATCAAACCTAGACAGAAGGATTCTCAGAATGTTTCCTGTGATGACAGCATTCAACTCACAGATGTGAACAATCCTGTTGATGGAGCAGTTTTGAAACTCTCTTTCTTTGGATTCTGCAAGTGGATATGTGGACCTCTGTGAAGATTTCGTTGGAAACGGGTTCATCTTCACAGAAAAACTAAACAGGAGCATTCTCAGAAACTGCTTTGTGATGTTTGTGTTCCACTTCAAGAATTGAACTTTCCTCTTGACAGAGCAGCTCTGAAACCCTCTTTTTCTAGAATCTGCAAGTGGACATTTGGAGGGCTTTGAGGCCTGTGGTGGAAAAGGAAAATCTTCACATAAAAACTAGATGGAAGCATTCTCAGAAACTACTTTGTGATGATTGCATTAGACTCACAGAGTTGAACATTCCTATAGATAGAACAGGTTGTAAACAATCTTTTTGTAGAATCTGCGATTGGAGATTTGGACTGCTTTGAGGCCTACTGTAGTAAAGGAAATAACTTCATCTAAAAACCAAACGGAAGCATTCACAGACAATTCCTAGTGATCATTGGATTGAACTAACAGAGCTGAACATTCCTTTAGATGGCGCAGTTTCCAAACACACTTTCTGTAGAATCTGCAAGGGGATATTTGGACTTCTCTGAGGATTTCGTTGGAAACGGGATAAACTTCCCAGAACTACACGGAAGCATTCTGAGAAACTTCTTTGTGATGTTTGCATTCAACTCACAGAGTTGAACCTTGCTTTCATAGTTCAGCTTTCAAACACTCTTTTTGTAGAATCTGCAAGTGGATATTTGGACCACTTTGTGGCCTTCCTTCGAAAGGGGTATATCTTCACATCAAACCTAGACAGAAGCATTCTCAGAATGTTTCCTGTGATGACTGCATTCAACTCACAGAGGTGAACAATCCTGCTGATGGAGCAGTTTTGAAACTCTCTTTCTTTGGATTCTGCAAGTGGATATGTGGACCTTCTGTGAAGATTTCGTTGGAAACGGGTTCATCTTCACAGAAAAACTAAACAGAAGCATTCTCAGAAACTGCTTTGTGATGTTTGTGTTCCACTTCAAGAATTGAACTTTCCTCTTGACAGAGCAGCTCTGAAACCCTCTTTTTCTAGAATCTGCAAGTGGACATTTGGAGGGCTTTGAGGCCTGTGGTGGAAAAGGAAAATCTTCACATAAAAACTAGATGGAAGCATTCTCAGAAACTACTTTGTGATGATTGCATTCGACTCACAGAGTTGAACACTCCTATAGATAGAGCAGGTTGTAAACAATCTTTTTGTAGAATCTGCGATTGGAGATTTGGACTGCTTTGAGGCCTACTGTAGTAAAGGAAATAACTTCATCTAAAAACCAAACGGAAGCATTCACAGACAATTCTTAGTGATCATTGGATTGAACTAACAGAGCTGAACATTCCTTTAGATGGAGCAGTTTCCAAACACACTTTCTGTAGAATCTGCAAGTGGATATTTGGACCTCTCTGAGGATTTCGTTGGAAACGGGATAAACTTCCCAGAACTACACGGAAGCATGCTGAGAAACTTCTTTGTGATGTTTGCATTCCACTCACAGAGTTGAACCTTGCTTTCATAGTTCAGCTTTCAAACACTCTTTTTGTAGAATCTGCAAGTGGATATTTGGACCACTTTGTGGCCTTCCTTCGAAACGGGTATATCTTCACATCAAACCTAGACAGAAGCATTCTCAGAATGTTTCCTGTGATGACTGCATTCAACTCACAGAGGTGAACAATCCTGTTGATGAAGCACTTTTGAAACTCTCTTTCTTTGGATTCTGCAAGTTGATATGTGGACCTCTGTGAAGATTTCGTTGGAAACGGGTTCATCTTCACAGAAAAACTAAACAGAAGCATTCTCAGAAACTGCTTTGTGATGTTTGTGTTCCACTTCAAGAATTGAACTTTCCTCTTGACAGAGCAGCTCTGAAACCCTCTTTTTCTAGAATCTGCAAGTGGACATTTGGAGGGCTTTGAGGCCTGTGGTGGAAAAGGAAAATCTTCACATAAAAACTAGATGGAAGCATTCTCAGAAACTACTTTGTGATGATTGCATTCGACTCACAGAGTTGAACATTCCTATAGATAGAGCAGGTTGTAAACAATCTTTTTGTAGAATCTGCGATTGGAGATTTGGACTGCTTTGAGGCCTACTGTAGTAAAGGAAATAACTTCATCTAAAAACCAAACGGAAGCATTCACAGACAATGCTTAGTGATCATTGGATTGAACTAACAGAGCTGAACATTCCTTTAGATGGAGCAGTTTCCAAACCCACTTTCTGTAGAATCTGCAAGTGGATATTTGGACCTCTCTGAGGATTTCTTTGGAAACGGGATAAACTTCCCAGAACTACACGGAAAGCATTCTGAGAAACTTCTTTGTGATGTTTGCATTCAACTCACAGAGTTGAACCTTGCTTTCATAGTTCAGCTTTCAAACACTCTTTTTGTAGAATCTGCAAGTGGATATTTGGACCACTTTGTGGCCTTCCTTCGAAACGGGTATATCTTCACATCAAACCTAGACAGAGCATTCTCAGAATGTTTCCTGTGATGACTGCATTCAACTCACAGAGGTGAACAATCCTGCTGATGGAGCAGTTTTGAAACTCTCTTTCTTTGGATTCTGCAAGTGGATATGTGGACCTCTGTGAAGATTTCGTTGGAAACGGGTTCATCTTCACAGAAAAACTAAACAGGAGCATTCTCAGAAACTGCTTTGTGATGTTTGTGTTCCACTTCAAGAATTGAACTTTCCTCTTGACAGAGCAGCTCTGAAACCCTCTTATTCTAGAATATGCAAGTGGACATTTGGAGGGCTTTGAGGCCTGTGGTGGAAAAGGAAAATCTTCACGTAAAAACTAGATGGAAGCATTCTCACAAACTACTTTGTGATGATTGCATTCGACTCACAGAGTTGAACATTCCTATAGATAGAGCAGGTTGTAAACAATCTTTTTGTAGAATCTGCGATTGGAGATTTCGACTGCTTTGAGGCCTACTGTAGTAAAGGAAATAACTTCATCTAAAAACCAAACGGAAGCATTCACAGACAATTCTTAGTGATCATTGCATTGAACTAACAGAGCTGAACATTCCTTTAGATGGCGCAGTTTCCAAACACACTTTCTGTAGAATCTTCAAGTGGATATTTGGACCTCTCTGAGGATTTCGTTGGAAACGGGATAAACTTCCCAGAAGTACACGAAAGCATTCTGAGAAACTTCTTTGTGATGTTTGCATTCAACTCACAGAGTTGAACCTTGCTTTCATAGTTCAGCTTTCAAACACTCTTTTTGTAGAATCTGCAAGTGGATATTTGGACCACTTTGTGGCCTTCCTTCGAAACGGGTATATCTTCACATCAAACCTAGACAGAAGCATTCTCAGAATGTTTCCTGTGATGACTGCATTCAACTCACAGAGGTGAACAATCCTGCTGATGGAGCAGTTTTGAAACTCTCTTTCTTTGGATTCTGCAAGTGGATATGTGGACCTCTGTGAAGATTTCGTTGGAAACGGGTTCATCTTCACAGAAAAACTAAACAGAAGCATTCTCACAAACTGCTTTGTGATGTTTGTGTTCCACTTCAGGAATTGAACTTTCCTCTTGACAGAGCAGCTCTGAAACCCTCTTTTTCTAGAATCTGCAAGTGGACATTTGGAGAGCTTTGAGGCCTGTGGTGGAAAAGGAAAATCTTCACATAAAAACTAGATGGAAGCATTCTCAGAAACTACTTTGTGATGATTGCATTCGACTCACAGAGTTGAACATTCCTATAGATAGAGCAGGTTGTAAACAATCTTTTTGTAGAATCTGCGATTGGAGATTTGGACTGCTTTGAGGCCTACTGTAGTAAAGGAAATAACTTCATTTAAAAACCAAACGGAAGCATTCACAGACAATTCTTAGTGATCATTGCATTGAACTAACAGAGCTGAACATTCCTTTAGATGGCGCAGTTTCCAAACACACTTTCTGTAGAATCTGCAAGTGGATATTTGGACTTCTCTGAGGATTTCGTTGGAAACGGGATAAACTTCCCAGAACTACACGGAAGCATTCTGAGAAACTTCTTTGTGATGTTTGCATTCAACTCACAGAGTTGAACCTTGCTTTCATAGTTCAGCTTTCAAACACTCTTTTTGTAGAATCTGCAAGTGGATATTTGGACCACTTTGTGGCCTTCCTTCGAAACGGGTATATCTTCACATCAAACCTAGACAGAAGCATTCTCAGAATGTTTCCTGTGATGACTGCATTCAACTCACAGAGGTGAACAATCCTGCTGATGGAGCAGTTTTGAAACTCTCTTTCTTTGGATTCTGCAAGTGGATATGTGGACCTCTGTGAAGATTTCGTTGGAAACGGGTTCATCTTCACAGAAAAACTAAACAGGAGCATTCTCAGAAACTGCTTTGTGATGTTTGTGTTCCACTTCAAGAATTGAACTTTCCTCTTGACAGAGCAGCTCTGAAACCCTCTTTTTCTAGAATCTGCAAGTGGACATTTGGAGGGCTTTGAGGCCTGTGGTGGAAAAGGAAAATCTTCACATAAAAACTAGATGGAAGCATTCTCAGAAACTACTTTGTGATGATTGCATTCGACTCACAGAGTTCAACATTCCTATAGATAGAGCAGGTTGTAAACAATCTTTTTGTAGAATCTGCGATTGGAGATTTAGACTGCTTTGAGGCCTACTGTAGTAAATTAAATAACTTCATCTAAAAACCAAACGGAAGCATTCACAGACAATTCTTAGTGATCATTGCATTGAACTAACAGAGCTGAACATTCCTTTAGATGGCGCAGTTTCCAAACACACTTTCTGTAGAATCTGCAAGTGGATATTTGGACTTCTCTGAGGATTTCGTTGGAAACGGGATAAACTTCCCAGAACTACACGGAAGCATTGTGAGAAACTTCTTTGTGATGTTTGCATTCAACTCACAGAGTTGAACCTTGCTTTCATAGTTCAGCTTTCAAACACTCTTTTTGTAGAATCTGCAAGTGGATATTTGGACCACTTTGTGGCCTTCCTTCGAAACGGGTATATCTTCACATCAAACCTAGACAGAAGCATTCTCAGAATGTTTCCTGTGATGACTGCATTCAACTCACAGAGGTGAACAATCCTGCTGATGGAGCAGTTTTGAAACTCTCTTTCTTTGGATTGTGCAAGTGGATATGTGGACCTCTGTGAAGATTTCGTTGGAAACGGGTTCATCTTCACAGAAAAACTAAACAGAAGCATTCTCAGAAACTGCTTTGTGATGTTTGTGTTCCACTTCAAGAATTCAACATTCCTCTTGACAGAGCAGCTCTGAAACCCTCTTTTTCTAGAATCTGCAAGTGGACATTTGGAGGGCTTTGAGGCCTGTGGTCGAAAAGGAAAACTCTTCACATAAAAACTAGATGGAAGCATTCTCAGAAACTACTTTGTGATGATTGCATTCGACTCACAGAGTTGAACATTCCTATACATAGAGCAGGTTGTAAACAATCTTTTTGTAGAATCTGCGATTGGAGATTTGGACTGCTTTGAGGCCTACTGTAGTAAAGGAAATAACTTCATCTAAAAACCAAACGGAAGCATTCACAGACAATTCTTAGTGATCATTGGATTGAACTAACAGAGCTGAACATTCCTTTAGATGGAGCAGTTTCCAAACACACTTTCTGTAGAATCTGCAAGTGGATATTTGGACCTCTCTGAGGATTTCGTTGGAAACGGGATAAACTTCCCAGAACTACACGGAAGCATTGTGAGAAACTTCTTTGTGATGTTTGCATTCAACTCACAGAGTTGAACCTTGCTTTCATAGTTCAGCTTTCAAACACTCTTTTTGTAGAATCTGCAAGTGGATATTTGGACCACTTTGTGGCCTTCCTTCGAAACGGGTATATCTTCACATCATACCTAGACAGAAGCATTCTCAGAATGTTTCCTGTGATGACTGCATTCAACTCACAGAGGTGAACAATCCTGCTGATGGAGCAGTTTTGAAACTCTCTTTCTTTGGATTCTGCAAGTGGATATGTGGACCTCTGTGAAGATTTCGTTGGAAACGGGTTCATCTTCACAGAAAAACTAAACAGAAGCATTCTCAGAAACTGCTTTGTGATGTTTGTGTTCCACATCAAGAACTGAACTTTCCTCTTGACAGAGCAGCTCTGATACCCTCTTTTTCTAGAATCTGCAAGTGGACATTTGGAGGGCTTTGAGGCCTGTGGTGCAAAAGGAAAATCTTCACATAAAAACTAGATGGAAGCATTCTCAGAAACTACTTTGTGATGATTGCATTCGACTCACAGAGTTGAACATTCCTATACATAGAGCAGGTTGTAAACAATCTTTTTGTAGAATCTGCGATTGGAGATTTGGACTGCTTTGAGGCCTACTGTAGTAAAGGAAATAACTTCATCTAAAAACCAAACGGAAGCATTCACAGACAATTCTTAGTGATCATTGGATTGAACTAACAGAGCTGAACATTCCTTTAGATGGAGCGGTTTCCAAACCCACTTTCTGTAGAATCTGCAAGTGGATATTTGGACTTCTCTGAGGATTTCGTTGGAAACGGGATAAACTTCCCAGAACTACAGGGAAGCATTCTGAGAAACTTCTTTGTGATGTTTGCATTCAACTCACAGAGTTTAACCTTGCTTTCATAGTTCAGCTTTCAAACACTCTTTTTGTAGATTCTGCAAGTGGATATTTGGACCACTTTGTGGCCTTCCTTCGAAACGGGTATATCTTCACATCAAACCTAGACAGAAGCATTCTCAGAATGTTTCCTGTGATGACTGCATTCAACTCACAGAGGTGAACAATCCTGTTGATGGAGCAGTTTTGAAACTCTCTTTCTTCGGATTCTGCAAGTGGATATGTGGACCTCTGTGAAGATTTCGTTGGAAACGGGTTCATCTTCACAGAAAAATTAAACAGAAGCATTCTCAGAAACTGCTTTGTGATGTTTGTGTTCCACTTCAAGAATTGAACTTTCCTCTTGACAGAGCAGCTCTGAAACCCTCTTTTTCTAGAATCTGCAAGTGGACATTTGGAGGGCTTTCAGGCCTGTGGTGGAAAAGGAAAATCTTCCCATAAAAACTAGATGGAAGCATTCTCAGAAACTACTTTGTGATGATTGCATTCGACTCACAGAGTTGAACATTCCTATAGATAGAGCAGGTTGTAAACAATCTTTTTGTAGAATCTGCGATTGGAGATTTGGACTGCTTTGAGGCCTACTGTAGTAAAGGAAATAACTTCATCTAAAAACCAAACGGAAGCATTCACAGACAATTCTTAGTGATCATTGGATTGAACTAACAGAGCTGAACATTCCTTTAGATGGAGCAGTTTCCAAACACACTTTCTGTAGAATCTGCAAGTGGATATTTGGACTTCTCTGAGGATTTCGGTTGGAAACCGGATAAACTTCCCAGAACTACACGGAAGCATTCTGAGAAACTTCTTTGTGATATTTGCATTCAACTCACAGAGTTAAACCTTGCTTTCATAGTTCAGCTTTCAAACACTCTTTTTGTAGAATCTGCAAGTGGATATTGGGACCACTTTGTGGCCTTCCTTCAAAACGGGTATATCTTCACATCAAACCTAGACAGGAGCATTCTCAGAATGTTTCCTGTGATGACTGCATTCAACTCATAGAGGTGAACAATCCTGTTGATGGAGAAGTTTTGAAACTCTTTTTCTTTGGATTCTGCAAGTGGATATGTGGACCTCTGTGAAGATTTCGTTGGAAACGGGTTCATCTTCACAGGAAAACTAAACAGGAGCATTCTCAGAAACTGCTTTGTGATGTTTGTGTTCCACTTCAGGAATTGAACTTTCCTCTTAACAGAGCAGCTCTGAAACCCTCTTATTCTAGAATCTGCAAGTGGACATTTGGAGGGCTTTGAGGCCTGTGGTGGAAAAGGAAAATCTTCACATAAAAACTAGATGGAAGCATTCTCAGAAACTACTTTGTGATGATTGCATTCGACTCACAGAGTTGAACATTCCTATAGATAGAGCAGGTGGTAAACAATCTTTTTGTAGAATCTGCGATTGGAGATTTGGAGTGCTTTGGGGTCTACTGTAGTAAAGGAAAAAACTTCATCTAAAAACCAAATGGAAGCATTCACAGACAATTCTTAGTGATCATTGGATTGAACTAACAGAGCTGAACATTCCTTTAGATGGAGCAGTTTCCAAACACACTTTCTGTAGAATCTGCAACTGGATATTTGGACTTCTCTGAGGATTTCGTTGGAA
This sequence comes from Homo sapiens, assembly GCF_000001405.40. NCBI lineage: Eukaryota > Metazoa > Chordata > Mammalia > Primates > Hominidae > Homo > Homo sapiens. The sequence goes on from NC_000011.10 coordinate 53,800,765, forward strand.
ACGGGATAAACTTCCCAGAACTACACGGAAGCATTGTGAGAAACTTCTTTGTGATGTTTGCATTCAACTCACAGAGTTGAACCTTGCTTTCATAGTTCAGCTTTCAAACACTCTTTTTGTAGAATCTGCAAGTGGATATTTGGACCACTTTGTGGCCTTCCTTCGAAACGGGTATATCTTCACATCAAACCTAGACAGAAGCATTCTCAGAATGTTTCCTGTGATGACTGCATTCAACTCACAGAGGTGAACAATCCTGCTGATGGAGCAGTTTTGAAACTCTCTTTCTTTGGATTCTGCAAGTGGATATGTGGACCTCTGTGAAGATTTCGTTGGAAACGGGTTCATCTTCACAGAAAAACTAAACAGGAGCATTCTCAGAAACTGCTCTGTGATGTTTGTGTTCCACTTCAAGAATTGAACTTTCCTCTTGACAGAGCAGCTCTGAAACCCTCTTTTTCTAGAATCTGCAAGTGGACATTTGGAGGGCTTTTAGGCCTGTGGTGCAAAAGGAAAATCTTCACATAAAAACTAGATGGAAGCATTCTCAGAAACTACTTTGTGATGATTGCATTCGACTCACAGAGTTGAACATTCCTATAGATAGAGCAGGTTGTAAACAATCTTTTTGTAGAATCTGCGATTGGAGATTTGGACTGCTTTGAGGCCTACTGTAGTAAAGGAAATAACTTCAACTAAAAACCAAAAGGAAGCATTCACAGACAATTCTTAGTGATCATTGGATAGAACCAACAGAGCTGAACATTCCTTTAGACGGAGCAGTTTCCAAACACACTTTCTGTAGAATCTGCAAGTGGATATTTGGACCTCTCTGAGGATTTCGTTGGAAACGGGATAAACTTCCCAGAACTACACGGAAGCATTCTGAGAAACTTCTTTGTGATGTTTGCATTCAACTCACAGAGTTGAACCTTGCTTTCTTAGTTCAGCTTTCAAACACTCTTTTTGTAGAATCTGCAAGTGGATATTTGGACCACTTTGTGGCCTTCCTTCGAAACGGGTATATCTTCACATCAAACCTAGACAGAAGCATTCTCAGAATGTTTCCTGTGATGACTGCATTCAACTCACAGAGGTGAACAATCCTGCTAATGGAGCAGTTTTGAAACTCTCTTTCTTTGGATTCTGCAAGTGGATATGTGGACCTCTGTGAAGATTTCGTTGGAAACGGGTTCATCTTCACAGAAAAACTAAACAGAAGCATTCTCAGAAACTGCTTTGTGATGTTTGTGTTCCACTTCAGGAATTGAAATTTCCTCTTGACAGAGCAGTTCTGAAACCCTCTTATTCTAGAATCTGCAAGTGGACATTTGGAGGGCTTTGAGGCCTGTGGTGGAAAAGGAAAATCTTCACATAAAAACTAGATGGAAGCATTCTCAGAATCTACTTTGTGATGATTGCATTCGACTCACAGAGTTGAACATTCCTATAGATAGAGCAGGTTGTAAACAATCTTTTTGTAGAATCTGCGATTGGAGATTTGGACTGCTTTGAGGCCTACTGTAGTAAAGGAAATAACTTCATCTAAAAACCAAACGGAAGCATTCACAGACAATTCTTAGTGATCATTGGTTTGAACTAACAGAGCTGAACATTCCTTTAGATGGAGGAGTTTCCAAACATTCTTTCTGTAGAATCTGCAAGTGGATATTTGGACCTCTCTGAGGATTTCGTTGGAAACAGGATAAACTTCCCAGAACTACACGGAAGTATTCTGAGAAACTTCTTTGTGATGTTTGCATTCAACTCACAGAGTTGAACCTTGCTTTCATAGTTCAGCTTTCAAACACTCTTTTTGTAGAATCTGCAAGTGGATATTTGGACCACTTTGTGGCCTTCCTTCGAAACGGGTATATCTTCACATCAAACCTAGACAGAAGCATTCTCAGAATGTTTCCTGTGATGACTGCATTCAACTCACAGAGGTGAACAATCCTGCTGATGGAGCAGTTTTGAAACTCTCTTTCTTTGGATTCTGCAAGTGGATATGTGGACCTCTGTGAAGATTTCGTTGGAAACGGGTTCATCTTCACAGAAAAACTAAACAGAAGCATTCTCAGAAACTGCTTTGTGATGTTTTTGTTCCACTTCAAGAATTGAACTTTCCTCTTGACAGAGCAGCTCTGAAACCCTCTTTTTCTAGAATCTGCAAGTGGACATTTGGAGGGCTTTGAGGCCTGTGGTGGAAAAGGAAAATCTTCACATAAAAACTAGATGGAAGCATTCTCAGAAACTACTTTCTGATGATTGCATTCGACTCACAGAGTTGAACTTTCCTATAGATAGAGCAGGTTGTAAACAATCTTTTTGTAGAATCTGCGATTGGAGATTTGGACTGCTTTGAGGCCTACTGTAGTAAAGGAAATAATTTCATCTAAAAACCAAACGGAAGCATTCACAGACAATTCTTAGTGGATCATTGCATTGAACTAACAGAGCTGAACATTCCTTTAGATGGCGCAGTTTCCAAACACACTTTCTGTAGAATCTGCAAGTGGATATTTGGACCTCTCTGAGGATTTCGTTGGAAACGGGATAAACTTCCCAGAACTGCACGGAAGCATTCTGAGAAACTTCTTTGTGATGTTTGCATTCAACTCACAGAGTTGAACCTTGCTTTCATAGTTCAGCTTTCAAACACTCTTTTTGTAGAATCTGCAAGTGGATATTTGGACCACTTTGTGGCCTTCCTTCGAAACGGGTATATCTTCACATCAAACCTAGACAGAAGCATTCTCAGAATGTTTCCTGTGATGACTGCATTCAACTCACAGAGGTGAACAATCCTGCTGATGGAGCAGTTTTGAAACTCTCTTTCTTTGGATTCTGCAAGTGGATATGTGAACCTCTGTGAAGATTTCGTTGGAAACGCGTTCATCTTCACAGAAAAACTAAACAGGAGCATTCTCAGAAACTGCTTTGTGATGTTTGTGTTCCACTTCAGGAATTGAACTTTCCTCTTGATAGAGCAGCTCTGAAACCCTCTTTTTCTAGAATCTGCAAGTGGACATTTGGAGGGTTTTGGGTCCTGTGGTGGAAAAGGAAATCTTCACATAAAAACTAGATGGAAGCATTCTCAGAAACTACTTTGTGATGATTGCATTCGACTCACAGAGTTGAACATTCCTATAGATAGAGCAGGTTGTAAACAATCTTTTTGTAGAATCTGCGATTGGAGATTTGGACTGCTTTGAGGCCTACTGTAGTAAAGGAAATAACTTCACCTAAAAACCAAACGGAAGCATTCACAGACAATTCTTAGTGATCATTGGATTGAACTAACAGAGCTGAACATTCCTTTAGATGGAGCAGTTTCCAAACACACTTTCTGTAGAATCTGCAAGTGGATATTTGGACTTCTCTGAGGATTTCGTTGGAAACGGGATAAACTTCCCAGAACTACAGGGAAGCATTGTGAGAAACTTCTTTGTGATGTTTGCATTCAACTCACAGAGTTGAACCTTGCTTTCATAGTTCAGCTTTCAAACACTCTTTTTGTAGAATCTGCAAGTGGATATTTGGACCACTTTGTGGCCTTCCTTTGAAAAGGGTATATCTTCACATCAAACCTAGACAGAAGCATTCTCAGAATGTTTCCTGTGATGACTGCATTCAACTCACAGAGGTGAACAATCCTGCTGATGGAGCAGTTTTGAAACTCTCTTTCTTTGGATTCTGCAAGTGGATATGTGGACCTCTGTGAAGATTTCGTTGGAAACGGGTTCATCTTCACAGAAAAACTAAACAGAAACATTCTCAGAAACTGCTTTGTGATGTTTGTGTTCCACTTCAAGAATTGAACTTTCCTCTTGACAGAGCAGCTCTGAAACCCTCTTTTTCTAGAATCTGCAAGTGGACATTTGGAGGGCTTTGAGGCCTGTGGTGGAAAAGGAAAATCTTCACATAAAAACTAGATGGAAGCGTTCTCAGAAACTACTTTGTGATGATTGCATTCGACTCACAGAGTTGAACATTCCTATAGATAGAGCAGGTTGAAAACAATCTTTTTGTAGAATCTGCGATTGGAGATTTGGACTGCTTTGAGGCCTACTGTAGTAAAGGAAATAACTTCATCTAAAAATCAAACGGAAGCATTCACAGACAATTCTTAGTGATCATTGGATTGAACTAACAGAGCTGAACATTCCTTTAGATGGAGCAGTTTCCAAACACACTTTCTGTAGAATCTGCAAGTGGATATTTGGACCTCTCTGAGGATTTCGTTGGAAACGGGATAAACTTCCCAGAACTACACGGAAGCATTCTGAGAAACTTCTTTGTGATGTTTGCATTCAACTCACAGAGTTGAACCTTGCTTTCATAGTTCAGCTTTCAAACACTCTTTTTGTAGAATCTGCAAGTGGATATTTGGACCACTTTCTGGCCTTCCTTCGAAACGGGTATATCTTCACATCAAACCTAGACAGAAGCATTCTCAGAATGTTTCCTGTGATGACTGCATTCAACTCACAGAGGTGAACAATGCTGCTGATGGAGCAGTTTTGAAACTCTCTTTCTTTGGATTCTGCAAGTGGATATGTGGACCTCTGTGAAGATTTCGTTGGAAACGGGTTCATCTTCACAGAAAAACTAAACAGAAGCATTCTCAGAAACTGCTCTGTGATGTTTGTGTTCCACTTCAAGAATTGAACTTTCCTCTTGACAGAGCAGCTCTGAAACCCTCTTTTTCTAGAATCTGCAAGTGGACATTTGGAGGGCTTTGAGGCCTGTGGTGGAAAAGGAAAATCTTCACATAAAAACTAGATGGAAGCATTCTCAGAAACTACTTTGTGATGATTGCATTCGACTCACAGAGTTGAACATTCCTATAGATAGAGCAGGTTGTAAACAATCTTTTTGTAGAATCTGCGATTGGAGATTTGGACTGCTTTGAGGCCTACTGTAGTAAAGGAAATAACTTCATCTAAAAACCAAACGGAAGCATTCACAGACAATTCTTAGTGATCATTGGATTGAACTAACAGAGCTGAACATTCCTTTAGATGGAGCAGTTTCCAAACACACTTTCTGTAGAATCTGCAAGTGGATATTTGGACTTCTCTGAGGATTTCGTTGGAAACGGGATAAACTTCCCAGAACTACAGGGAAGCATTCTGAGAAACTTCTTTGTGATGTTTGCATTCAACTCACAGAGTTGAACCTTGCTTTCATAGTTCAGCTTTCAAACACTCTTTTTGTAGAATCTGCAAGTGGATATTTGGACCACTTTGTGGCCTTCCTTCGAAACGGGTATATCTTCACATCAAACCTAGACGGAGCATTCTCGGAATGTTTCCTGTGATGACTGCATTCAACTCACAGAGGTGAAAAATCCTGCTGATGGAGCAGTTTTGAAACTCTCTTTCTTTGGATTCTGCAAGTGGATATGTGGACCTCTGTGAAGATTTCGTTGGAAACGGGTTCATCTTCACAGAAAAACTAAACAGGAGCATTCTCAGAAACTGCTTTGTGATGTTTGTGTTCCACTTCAGGAATTGAACTTTCCTCTTGACAGAGCAGCTCTGAAACCCTCTTTTTCTAGAATCTGCAAGTGGACATTTGGAGGGCTTTGAGGCCTGTGGTGGAAAAGGAAAATCTTCACATAAAAACTAGATGGAAGCATTCTCAGAAACTACTTTGTGATGATTGCATTCGACTCACAGAGTTGAACATTCCTATACATAGAGCAGGTTGTAAACAATCTTTTTGTAGAATCTGCGATTGGAGATTTGGACTGCTTTGAGGCCTACTGTAGTAAAGGAAATAACTTCATCTAAAAACCAAACGGAAGCATTCACAGACAATTCTTAGTGATCATTGCATTGAACTAACAGAGCTGAACATTCCTTTAGATGGCGCAGTTTCCAAACACACTTTCTGTAGAATCTGCAAGTGGATATTTGGACCTCTCTGAGGATTTCGATGGAAACGGGATAAACTTCCCAGAACTACACGGAAGCATTCTGAGAAACTTCTTTGTGATGTTTGCATTCAACTCACAGAGTTGAACCTTGCTTTCATAGTTCAGCTTTCAAAGACTCTTTTTGTAGAATCTGCAAGTGGATATGTGGACCACTTTGTGGCCTTCCTTCGAAACGGGTATATCTTCACATGAAACCTAGACAGAAGCATTCTCAGAATGTTTCCTGTGATGACTGCATTAAACTCACAGAGGTGAACAATCCTGTTGATGGAGCAGTTTTGAAACTCCCTTTCTTTGGATTCTGCAAGTGGATATGTGGAACTCTTTGAAGATTTCGTTGGAAACGGGTTCATCTTCACAGAAAAACTAAACAGGAGCATTCTCAGAAACTGCTTTGTGATGTTTGTGTTCCACTTCAAGAATTCAACTTTCCTCTTGACAGAGCAGCTCTGAAACCCTCTTTTTCTAGAATCTGCAAGTGGACATTTGGAGGGCTTTGAGGCCTGTGGTGGAAAAGGAAAATGTTCCCATAAAAACTAGATGGAAGCATTCTCAGAAACTACTTTGTGATGATTGCATTCGACTCACAGAGTTGAACATTCCTATAGATAGAGTAGGTTGTAAACAATCTTTTTGTAGAATCTGCGATTGGAGATTTGGACTGCTTTGAGGCCTACTGTAGTAAAGGAAATAACTTTATCTAAAAACCAAACGGAAGCATTCACAGACAATTCTTAGTGATCATTGCATTGAACTAACAGAGCTGAACATTCCTTTAGATGGAGCAGTTTCCAAACACACTTTCTGTAGAATCTGAAAGTGGATATTTGGACCTCTCTGAGGATTTCGTTGGAAACGGGATAAACTTCCCAGAACTACACGGAAGCATTCTGAGAAACTTCTTTGTGATGTTTTCATTCAACTCACAGAGTTGAACCTTGCTTTCATAGTTCAGCTTTCAAACACTCTTTTTGTAGAATCTGCAAGTGGATATTTGGACCATTTTGTGGCCTTCCTTCGAAACGGGTATATCTTCACATCAAACCTAGACAGAAGCATTCTCAGAATATTTCCTGTGATGACTGCATTCAACTCACAGAGGTGAACAATCCTGTTGATGGAGCAGTTTTGAATCTCTCTTTCTTTGGATTCTGCAAGTGGATATGTGGACCTCTGTGAAGATTTCGTTGGAAACGGGTTCATTTTCACAGAAAAACTAAACAGAAGCATTCTCAGAAACTGCTTTGTGATGTTTGTGTTCCACTTCAAGAATTGAACATTCCTCTTGACAGAGCAGCTCTGAAACCCTCTTTTTCTAGAATCTGCAAGTGGACATTTGGAGGGCTTTGAGGCCTGTGGTGGAAAAGGAAAATCTTCACATAAAAACTAGATGGAAGCATTCTCAGAAACTACTTTGTGATGATTGCATTCGACTCACAGAGTTGAACATTCCTATAGATAGAGCAGGTTGTAAACAATCTTTTTGTAGAATCTGCGATTGGAGATTTGGACTGCTTTGAGGCCTACTGTAGTAAAGGAAATAACTTCATCTAAAAACCAAACGGAAGCATTCACAGACAATTCTTAGTGATCATTGGATTCAACTAACAGAGCTGAACATTCCTTTAGATGGAGCAGTTTCCAAACCCACTTTCTGTAGAATCTGCAGGTGGATATTTGGACTTCTCTGAGGATTTCGTTGGAAACGGGATAAACTTCCCAGAACTACACGGAAGCATTCTGAGAAACTTCTTTGTGATGTTTGCATTCAACTCACAGAGTTGAACCTTGCTTTCATAGTTCAGCTTTCAAACACTCTTTTTGTAGAATCTGCAAGTGGATATTTGGACCACTTTGTGGCCTTCCTTCGAAACGGGTATATCTTCACATCAAACCTAGACAGAAGCATTCTCAGAATGTTTCCTGTGATGACTGCATTCAACTCACAGAGGTGAACAATCCTGCTGATGGAGCAGTTTTGAAACTCTCTTTCTTTGGATTCTGCAAGTGGATATGTGGACCTCCGTGAAGATTTCGTTGGAAACGGGTTCATCTTCACAGAAAAACTAAACAGGAGCATTCTCAGAAACTGCTTTGTGATGTTTGTGTTCCACTTCAGGAATTGAACTTTCCTCTTGACAGAGCAGCTCTGAAACCCTCTTATTCTAGAATCTGCAAGTGGACATTTGGAGGGCTTTGAGGCCTGTGGTGGAAAAGGAAAATCTTCACATAAAAACTAGATGGAAGCATTCTCAGAAACTACTCTGTAATGATTGCATTCGACTCACAGAGTTGAACATTCGTATAGATAGAGCAGGTTGTAAACAATCTTTTTGTAGAATCTGCGATTGGAGATTTGGACTGCTTTGAGGCCTACTGTAGTAAAGGAAATAACTTCATCTAAAAACCAAACGGAAGCATTCACAGACAATTCTTAGTGATCATTGCATTGAACTAACAGAGCTGAACATTCCTTTAGATGGAGCAGTTTCCAAACACACTTTCTGTAGAATCTGCAAGTGGATATTTGGACCTCTCTGAGGATTTCGTTGGAAACGGGATAAACTTCCCAGAACTACACGGAAGCATTCTGAGAAACTTCTTTGTGATGTTTTCATTCAACTCACAGAGTTGAACCTCGCTTTCATAGTTCAGCTTTCAAACACTCTTTTTGTAGAATCTACAAGTGGATATTTGGACGACTTTGTGGCCTTCCTTTGAAACGGGTATATCTTCACATCAAACCTAGACAGAAGCATTCTCAGAATGTTTCCTGTGATGACTGCATTCAACTCACAGAGGTGAACAATCCTGTTGATGGAGCAGTTTTGAAACTCTCTTTCTTTGGATTCTGCAAGTGGATATGTGGACCTCTGTGAAGATTTCGTTGGAAACGGGTTCATCTTCACAGAAAAACTAAACAGAAGCATTCTCAGAAACTGCTTTGTGATGTTTGTGTTCCACATCAAGAATTGAAATTTCCTCTTGACAGAGCAGCTCAGAAACCCTCTTTTTCTAGAATCTGAAAGTGGACATTTGGAGGGCTTTGAGGCCTGTGGTGGAAAAGGAAAATCTTCACATAAAAACTGGATGGAAGCATTCTCAGAAACTACTTTGTGATGATTGCATTCGACTCACAGAGTTGAACATTCCTATAGATAGAGCAGGTTGTAAACAATCTTTTTGTAGAATCTGCGATTGGAGATTTGGACTGCTTTGAGGCCTACTGTAGTAAAGGAAATAACTTCATCTAAAAACCAAACGGAAGCAAACACAGACAATTCTTAGTGATCATTGCATTGAACTAACAGAGCTGAACATTCCTTTAGATGGCGCAGTTTCCAAACACACTTTCTGTAGAATCTGCAAGTGGATATTTGGACCTCTCTTTGGATTTCGTTGGAAACGGGATAAACTTCCCAGAACTACACGGAAGCATTGTGAGAAACTTCTTTGTGATGTTTGCATTCAACTCACAGAGTTGAACCTTGCTTTCATAGTTCAGCTTTCAAACACTCTTTTTGTAGAATCTGCAAGTGGATATTTGGACCACTTTGTGGCCTTCCTTTGAAAAGGGTGTATCTTCACATCAAACCTAGACAGAAGCATTCTCAGAATGTTTCCTGTGATGACTGCATTCAACTCACAGAGGTGAACAATCCTGCTGATGGAGCAGTTTTGAAACTCTCTTTCTTTGGATTCTGCAAGTGGATATGTGGACCTCTGTGAAGATTTCGTTGGAAACGGGTTCATCTTCACAGAAAAACTAAACAGAAGCATTCTCAGAAACTGCTTTGTGATGTTTGTGTTCCACTTCAAGAATTGAACTTTCCTCTTGACAGAGCAGCTCTGAAACCCTCTTTTTCTAGAATCTGCAAGTGGACATTTGGAGGGCTTTGAGGTCTGTGGTGGAAAAGGAAAATCTTCACATAAAAACTAGATGGAAGCATTCTCAGAAACTACTTTGTGATGATTGCATTCGACTCACAGAGTTGAACATTCCTATAGATAGAGCAGGTTGTAAACAATCTTTTTGTAGAATCTGCGATTGGATATTTGGACTGTTTTGAGACCTACTGTAGTAAAGGAAATAACTTCATCTAAAAACCAAACGGAAGCATTCACAGACAATTCTTAGTGATCATTGGATTGAACTAACAGAGCTGAACATTCCTTTAGATGGAGCAGTTTCCAAACACACTTTCTGTAGAATCTGCAAGTGGATATTTGGACCTCTCTGAGGATTTCGTTGGAAACGGGATAAACTTCCCAGAACTACACGGAAGCATTCTGAGAAACTTCTTTGTGATGTTTGCATTCAACTCACAGAGTTGAACCTTGCTTTCATAGTTCAGCTTTCAAACACTCTTTTTGTAGAATCTGCAAGGGGATATTTGGACCACTTTGTGGCCTTCCTTCGAAACGGTTATATCTTCACATCAAACCTAGACAGAAGCATTCTCAGAATGTTTCCTGTGATGACTGCATTCAACTCACAGAGGTGAACAATCCTGCTGATGGAGCAGTTTTGAAACTCTCTTCCTTTGGATTCTGCAAGTGGATATGTGGACCTCTGTGAAGATTTCGTTGGAAACGGGTTCATCTTCACAGAAAAACTAAACAGGAGCATTCTCAGAAACTGCTTTGTGATGTTTGTGTTCCTCTTCAAGAAATGAACTTTCCTCTTGACAGAGCAGCTCTGAAACCCTCTTTTTCTAGAATCTGCAAGTGGACATTTGGAGGGCTTTGAGGCCTGTGGTGGAAAAGGAAAATCTTCACATAAAAACTAGATGGAAGCATTCTCAGAAACTACTTTGTGATGATTGCATTCGACTCACAGAGTTGAACATTCCTATAGATAGAGCAGGTTGTAAACAATCTTTTTGTAGAATCTGCGATTGGAGATTTGGACTGCTTTGAGGCCTACTGTAGTAAAGGAAATAACTTCATCTAAAAACCAAACGGAAGCATTCACAGACAATTCTTAGTGATCATTGGATTTAACTAACAGAGCTGAACATTCCTTTAGATGGAGCAGTTTCCAAACACACTTTCTGTAGAATCTGCAAGTGGATATTTGGACCTCTCTGAGGATTTCGTTGGAAACGGGCTAAATTTCCCAGAACTACACGGAAGCATTCTGAGAAACTTCTTTGTGATGTTTGCATTCAACTCACAGAGTTGAACCTTGCTTTCATAGTTCAGCTTTCAAACACTCTTTTTGTAGAATCGGCAAGTGGATATTTGGACCACTTTGTGGCCTTCCTTCGAAACGGGTATATCTTCACATCAAACCTAGACAGAAGCATTCTCAGTAATGTTTCCTGTGATGACTGCATTCAACTCACAGAGGTGAACAATCCTGCTGATGGAGCAGTTTTGAAACTCTCTTTCTTTGGATTCTGCAAGTGGATATGTGGACCTCTGTGAAGATTTCGTTGGAAACGTGTTCATCTTCACAGAAAAACTAAACAGGAGCATTCTCAGGAAACTGCTTTGTGATGTTTGTGTTCCACTTCAAGAATTGAACTTTCCTCTTGACAGAGCAGCTCTGAAACCCTCTTTTTCTAGAATCTGCAAGTGGACATTTGGAGGGCTTTGAGGCCTGTGGTGGAAAAGGAAAATCTTCACATAAAAACTTGATGGAAGCATTCTCAGAAACTTCTTTGTGATGATTGCATTCGACTCACAGAGTTGAACATTCCTATAGATAGAGCAGGTTGTAAACAATCTTTTTGTAGAATCTGCGATTGGAGATTTGGACTGCTTTGAGGCCTACTGTAGTAAAGGAAATAACTTCATCTAAAAACCAAACGGAAAGCATTCACAGACAATTCTTAGTGATCATTGCATTGAACTAACAGAGCTGAACATTCCTTTAGATGGAGCAGTTTCCAAACCCACTTTCTGTAGAATCTGCAAGTGGATATTTGGACTTCTCTGAGGATTTCGTTGGAAACGGGATAAACTTCCCAGAACTACACGGGAAGCATGCTGAGAAACTTCTTTGTGATGTTTGCATTCAACTCACAGAGTTGAACCTTGCTTTCATAGTTCAGCTTTCAAACACTCTTTTTGTAGAATCTGCAAGTGGATGTTTGGAACACTTTGTGGCCTTCCTTCGAAACGGGTATATCTTCACATCAAACCTAGACAGAAGCATTCTCAGAATGTTTCCTGTGATGACTGCATTCAACTCACAGAGGTGAACAATCCTGCTGATGGAGTAGTTTTGAAACTCTCTTTCTTTGGATTCTGCAAGTGGATATGTGGACCTCTGTGAAGATTTAGTTAGAAACGGGTTCATCTTCACAGAAAAACTAAACAGAAGCATTCTCAGAAACTGCTTTGTGATGTTTGTGTTCCACTTCAGGAATTGAACTTTCCTCTTGACAGAGCAGCTCTGAAACCCTCTTTTTCTAGAATCTGCAAGTGGACATTTGGAGGGCTTTGAGGCCTGTGGTGGAAAAGGAAAATCTTCACATAAAAACTAGATGGAAGCATTCTCAGAAACTACTTTGTGATGATTGCATTCGACTCACAGAGTTGAACATTCCTATAGATAGAGCAGGTTGTAAACAATCTTTTTGTAGAATCTGCGATTGGAGATTTGGACTGCTTTGAGGCCTACTGTAGTAAATGAAATAACTTCATCTAAAAACCAAACGGAAGCATTCACAGACAATTCTTAGTGATCATTGGATTGAACTAACAGAGCTGAACATTCCTTTAGATGGAGCAGTTTCCAAACACACTTTCTGTAGAATCTGCAAGTGGATATTTGGACCTCTCTGAGGATTTCGTTGGAAACGGGATAAACTTCCCAGAACTACACGGAAGCATTGTGAGAAACTTCTTTGTGATGTTTGCATTCAACTCACAGAGTTGAACCTTGCTTTCATAGTTCAGCTTTCAAACACTCTTTTTGTAGAATCTGCAAGTGGATATTTGGACCACTTTGTGGCCTTCCTTCGAAACGGGTATATCTTCACATCAAACCTAGACAGAAGCATTCTCAGAATGTTTCCTGTGATGACTGCATTCAACTCACAGAGGTGAACAATCCTGCTGATGGAGCAGTTTTGAAACTCTCTTTCTTTGGATTCTGCAAGTGGATATGTGGACCTCTGTGAAGATTTCGTTGGAAACGGGTTCATCTTCACAGAAAAACTAAACAGAAGCCTTCTCAGAAACTGCTTTGTGATGTTTGTGTTCCACTTCAGGAATTGAACTTTCCTCTTGACAGAGCAACTCTGAAACCCTCTTTTTCTAGAATCTGCAAGTGGACATTTGGAGGGCTTTGAGGCCTGTGGTGGAAAAGGAAACTTCTTCACATAAAAACTAGATGGAAGCATTCTCAGAAACTCCTTTGTGATGATTGCATTCGACTCACAGAGTTGAACATTCCTATGGATAGAGCAGGTTGTAAACAATCTTTTTGTAGAATCTGCGATTGGAGATTTGGACTGCTTTCAGGCCTACAGTAGTAAAGGAAATAACTTCATCTAAAAACCAAACGGAAGCATTCACAGACAATTCTTAGTGATCATTGCATTGAACTAACAGAGCTGAACATTGCTTTAGATGGCGCAGTTTCCAAACACCCTTTCTGTAGAATCTGCAAGTGGATATTTGGACCTCTCTGAGGATATCGTTGGAAAAGGGATAAACTTCCCAGAACTACACGGAAGCATTCTGAGAAACATCTTTGTGATGTTTGCATTCAACTCACAGAGTTGAACCTTGCTTTCATAGTTCAGCTTTGAAACACTCTTTTTGTAGAATCTGCAAGTGGATATTTGGACCACTTTGTGGCCTTCCTTCGAAACGGGTATATCTTCACATCAAACCTAGACAGAAGCATTCTCAGAATGTTTCCTGTGATGACTGCATTCAACTCACAGAGGTGAACAATCCTGCTGATGGAGCAGTTTTGAAACTCTCTTTCTTTGGATTCTGCAAGTGGATATGTGGACCTCTGTGAAGATTTCGTTGGAAACGGGTTCATCTTCACAGAAAAACTAAACAGAAGCATTCTCAGAAACTGCTTTGTGATGTTTGTGTTCCACTTCAGGAATTGAACTTTCCTCTTGACAGAGCAGCTCTGAAACCCTCTTATTCTAGAATCTGCAAGTGGACATTTGGAGGGCTTTGAGGCCTGTGGTGGAAAAGGAAAATCTTCACATAAAAACTAGATGGAAGCATTCTCAGAAACTACTTTGTGATGATTGCATTCGACTCACAGAGTTGAACATTCCTATAGATAGAGCAGGTTGTAAACAATCTTTTTGTAGAATCTGCGATTGGAGATTTGGACTGCTTTGAGGCCTACTGTAGTAAAGGAAATAACTTCATCTAAAAACAAAACGGAAGCATTCACAGACAATTCTTAGTGATCATTGGATTGAACTAACAGAGCTGAACATTCCTTTAGATGGAGCAGTTTCCAAACACACTTTCTGTAGAAACTGCAAGTGGATATTTGGACTTCTCTGAGGATTTCGTTGGAAACGGGATAAACTTCCCAGAACTACACGGAAGCATTGGGAGAAACTTCTTTGTGATGTTTGCATTCAACACACAGAGTTGAACCTTGCTTTCATAGTTCAGCTTTCAAACACTCTTTTTGTAGAATCTGCAAGTGGATATTTGGACCACTTTGTGGCCTTCCTTCGAAACGGGTATATCTTCACATCAAACCTAGACAGAAGCATTCTCAGAATGTTTCCTGTGATGACTGCATTAAACTCACAGAGGTGAACAATCCTGCTGATGGAGCAGTTTTGAAACTCTCTTTCTTTGGATTCTGCAAGTGGATATGTGGACCTCTGTGAAGATTTCGTTGGAAACGGGTTCATCTTCACAGAAAAACTAAACAGAAGCATTCTCAGAAACTGCTTTGTGATGTTTGTGTTCCACTTCAGGAATTGAACTTTCCTCTTGACAGAGCAGCTCTGAAACCCTCTTATTCTAGAATCTGCAAGTGGACATTTGGAGGGCTTTGAGGCCTGTGGTGGAAAAGGAAAATCTTCACATAAAAACTAGATGGAAGCATTCTCAGAAACTACTTTGTGATGATTGCATTCGACTCACAGAGTTGAACATTCCTATAGATAGAGCAGGTTGTAAACAATCTTTTTGTAGAATCTGCGATTGGAGATTTGGACTGCTTTGAGGCCTACTGTAGTAAAGGAAATAACTTCATCTAAAAACCAAACGGAAGCATTCACAGAAAATTCTTAGAGATCATTGCATTGAACTAACAGAGCTGAACATTCCTTTAGATGGAGCAGTTTCCAAACACACTTTCTGTAGAATCTGCAAGTGGATATTTGGACTTCTCTGAGGATTTCGTTGGAAACGGGATAAACTTCCCAGAACTACACGGAAGCATTCTAAGAAACTTCTTTGTGATGTTTGCATTCAACTCACAGAGTTGAACCTTGCTTTCATAGTTCAGCTTTCAAACACTCTTTTTGTAGAATCTGCAAGTGGATATTTGGACTACTTTGTGGCCTTCCTTCGAAACGGGTATATCTTCACATCAAACCTAGACAGAAGCATTCTCAGAATGTTTCCTGTGATGACTGCATTCAACTCACAGAGGTGAACAATCCTGCTGATGGAGCAGTTTTGAAACTCTCTTTCTTTGGATTCTGCAAGTGGATATGTGGACCTCTGTGAAGATTTCGCTGGAAACGGGTTCATCTTCACAGAAAAACTAAACAGGAGCATTCTCAGAAACTGCTTTGTGATGTTTGTGTTCCACTTCAGGAATTGAACTTTCCTCTTGACAGAGCAGCTCTAAAACCCTCTTATTCTAGAATCTGCAAGTGGACATTTGGAGGGCTTTGAGGCCTGTGGTGGAAAAGGAAAATCTTCACATAAAAACTAGATGGAAGCATTCTCAGAAACTACTTTGTGATGATTGCATTCGACTCACAGAGTTGAACATTCCTATAGATAGAGCAGGTTGTAAACAATCTTTTTTTAGAATCTGCGATTGGAGATTTGGACTGCTTTGAGGCCTACTGTAGTAAAGGAAATAACTTCATGTAAAAACCAAACGGAAGCATTCACAGACAATTCTTAGTGATCATTGGATTGAACTAACAGAACTGAACATTCCTTTAGATGGAGCAGTTTCCAAACCCACTTTCTGTAGAATCTGCAAGTGGATATTTGGACTTCTCTGAGGATTTCGTTGGAAATGGGTTATACTTCCCAGAACTACACGGAAGCATTGTGAGAAACTTCTTTGTGATGTTTGCATTCAACTCACAGAGTTGAACCTTGCTTTCATAGTTCAGCTTTCAAACACTCTTTTTGTAGAATCTGCAAGTGGATATTTGGACCACTTTGTGGCCTTCCTTCGAAACGGGTATATCTTCACATCAAACCTAGACAGAAGCATTCTCAGAATGTTTCCTGTGATGACTGCATTCAACTCACAGAGGTGAACAATCCTGCTGATGGAGCAGTTTTGAAACTCTCTTTCTTTGGATTCTGCAAGTGGATATGTGGACCTCTGTGAAGATTTCGTTGGAAACGGGTTCATCTTCACAGAAAAACTAAACAGAAGCATTCTCAGAAACTGCTTTGTGATGTTTGTGTTCCACTTCAAGAATTGAACTTTCCTCTTGACAGAGCAGCTCTGAAACCCTCTTTTTCTAGAATCTGCAAGTGGACATTTGGAGGGCTTTGAGGCCTGTGGTGGAAAAGGAAAATCTTCACATAAAAACTAGATGGAAGCATTATCAGAAACTACTTTGTGATGATTGCATTCGACTCACAGAGTTGAACATTCCTATAGATAGAGCAGGTTGTAAACAATCTTTTTGTAGAATCTGCGATTGGAGATTTGGACTGCTTTGAGGCCTACTGTAGTAAAGGAAATAACTTCATCTAAAAACCAAACGGAAGCATTCACAGACAATTCTTAGTGATCATTGCATTGAACTAACAGAGCTGAACATTGCTTTAGATGGCGCAGTTTCCAAACACACTTTCTGTAGAATCTGCAAGTGGATATTTGGACCTCTCTGAGGATTTCGTTGGAAACGGGATAAACTTCCCAGAACTACACGGAAGCATTCTGAGAAACTTCTTTGTGATGTTTGCATTCAACTCACAGAGTTGAACCTTGCTTTCATAGTTCAGCTTTCAAACACTCTTTTTGTAGAATCTGCAAGTGGATATTTGGACCACTTTGTGGCCTTCCTTCGAAACGGGTATATCTTCACATCAAACCTAGACAGAAGCATTCTCAGAATGTTTCCTGTGATGACTGCATTCAACTCACAGAGGTGAACAATCCTGCTGATGGAGCAGTTTTGAAACTCTCTTTCTTTGGATTCTGCAAGTGGATATGTGGACCTCTGTGAAGATTTCGTTGGAAACGGGTTCATCTTCACAGAAAAACTAAACAGGAGCATTCTCAGAAACTACTTTGTGATGTTTGTGTTCCGCTTCAAGAATTGAATTTTCCTCTTTACAGAGCAGCTCTGAAACCCTCTTTTTCTAGAATCTGCAAGTGGACATTTGGAGGGCTTTGAGGCCTGTGGTGGAAAAGGAAAATCTTCACATAAAAACTAGATGGAAGCATTCTCAGAAAGTACTTTTGATGATTGCATTCGACTCACAGTGTTGAACATTCCTATAGATAGAGCAGGTTGTAAACAATCTTTTTGTAGAATCTGCGATTGGAGATTTGGACTGCTTTGAGGCCTACTGTAGTAAAGGAAATAACTTCATCTAAAAACCAAACGGAAGCATTCACAGACAATTCTTAGTGATCATTGCATTGAACTAACAGAGCTGAACATTCCTTTAGATGGCGCAGTTTCCAAACACACTTTCTGTAGAATCTGCAAGTGGATATTTGGACTTCTCTGAGGATTTCGTTGGAAACGGGATAAACTTCCCAGAACTACACGGAAAGCATTCTGAGAAACTTCTTTGTGATGTTTGCATTCAACTCACAGGATTTGCACCTTGCTTTCATAGTTCAGCTTTCAAACACTCTTTTTGTAGAATCTGCAAGTGGATATTTGGACCACTTTGTGGCCTTCCTTCGAAAAGGGTATATCTTCACATCAAACCTAGACAGAAGCATTCTCAGAATGTTTCCTGTGATGACTGCATTCAACTCACAGAGGTGAACAATCCTGCTGATGGAGCAGTTTTGAAACTCTCTTTCTTTGGATTCTGCAAGTGGATATGTGGACCTCTGTGAAGATTTCGTTGGAAACGGGTTCATCTTCACAGAAAAACTAAACAGAAGCATTCTCAGAAACTGCTCTGTGATGTTTGTGTTCCACTTCTGGAATTGAACTTTCCTCTTGACAGAGCAGCTCTGAAACCCTCTTTTTCTAGAATCTGCAAGTGGACATTTGGAGGGCTTTGAGGCCTGTGGTGGAAAAGGAAAATCTTCACATAAAAAATAGATGGAAGCATTCTCAGAAAGTACTTTGTGATGATTGCATTCGACCCACAGAGTTGAACATTCCTATAGATAGAGCAGGTTGTAAACAATGTTTTTGTAGAATCTGCGATTGGAGATTTGGACTGCTTTGAGGCCTACTGTAGTAAAAGAAATAACTTCATCTAAAAACCAAACGGAAGCATTCACAGACAATTCTTAGTGATCTATTGGATTGAACTAACAGAGCTGAACATTCCTTTAGATGGAGCAGTTTCCAAACACACTTTCTGTAGAATCTGCAAGTGGATATTTGGACTTCTCTGAGGATTTCGTTGGAAACGGGATAAACTTCCCAGAACTACACGGAAGCATTCTGAGAAACTTCTTTGTGGTGTTTGCATTCAACTCACAGAGTTGAACCTTGCTTTCATAGTTCAGCTTTCAAACACTCATTTTGTGGAATCTGCAAGTGGATATTTGGACCACTTTGTGGCCTTCCTTCGAAACGGGTATATCTTCACATCAAACCTAGACAGAAGCATTCTCAGAATGTTTCCTGTGATGAATGCATTCAACTCACAGAGGTGAACAATCCTGTTGATGGAGCAGTTTTAAAACTCTCTTTCTTTGGATTCTGCAAGTTGATATGTGGACCTCTGTGAAGATTTCGTTGGAAACGGGTTCATCTTCACAGAAAAACTAAACAGAAGCATTCTCAGAAACTGCTTTGTGATGTTTGTGTTCCACTTCAAGAATTGAACTTTCCTCTTGACAGAGCAGCTCTGAAACCCTCTTTTTCTAGAATCTGCAAGTGGACCTTTGGAGGGCTTTGAGGCCTGTGGTGGAAAAGGAAAATCTTCACATAAAAACTAGATGGAAGCATTCTCAGAAACTACTTTGTGATGATTGCATTCGACTCACAGAGTTGAATATTCCTATAGATAGAGCAGGTTGTAAACAATCTTTTTGTAGAATGTGCGATTGGAGATTTGGACTGCTTTGAGGCCTACTGTAGTAAAGGAAATAACTTCATCTAAAAACCAAACGGAAGCATTCACAGACAATTCTTAGTGATCATTGGATTGAACTAACAGAGCTGAACATTCCTTTAGATGGAGCAGTTTCCAAACCCACTTTCTGTAGAATCTGCAAGTGGATATTTGGACTTCTCTGAGGATTTCGTTGGAAACGGCATAAACTTCCCAGAACTACAGGGAAGCATTCTGAGAAACTTCTTTGTGATGTTTGCATTCAACTCACAGAGTTGAACCTTGCTTTCATAGTTCAGCTTTCAAACACTCTTTTTGTAGAATCTGCAAGTGGATATTTGGACCACTTTGTGGCCTTCCTTCGAAACGGGTATATCTTCACATCAAACCTAGACAGAAGCATTCTCAGAATGTTTCCTTTGATGACTGCATTCAACTCACAGAGGTGAACAATCCTGTTGATGGAGCAGTTTTGAAACTCTCTTTCTTTGGATTCTGCAAGTGGATATGTGGACCTCTGTGAAGATTTCGTTGGAAACGTGTTCATCTTCACAGAAAAACTAAACAGGAGCATTCTCAGAAACTGCTTTGTGCTGTTTGTGTTCCACTTCAGGAATTGTATTTTCCTCTTGACAGAGCAGCTCTGAAACCCTCTTATTCTAGAATCTGCAAGTGGACATTTGGAGGGCTTTGAGGCCTGTGGTGGAAAAGGAAAATCTTCACATAAAAACTAGATGGAAGCATTCTCAGAAACTACTTTGTGATGATTGCATTCGACTCACAGAGTTGAATATTCCTATAGATAGAGCAGGTTGTAAACAATCTTTTTGTAGAATCTGCGATTGGAGATTTGGACTGCTTTGAGGCCTATTGTAGTAAAGGAAATAACTTCATCTAAAAACCAAACGGAAGCATTCACAGACAATTCTTAGCGATCATTGGAGTGAACTAACAGAGCTGAACATTCCTTTAGATGGAGCAGTTTCCAAACACACTTTCTGTAGAATCTGCAAGTGGATATTTGGACTTCTCTGAGGATTTCGTTGGAAACGGGATAAACTTCCCAGAACTACATGGAAGCATTCTGAGAAACTTCTTTGTGATGTTTGCATTCAACTCACAGAGTTGAACCTTGCTTTCATAGTTCAGCTTTCAAACACTCTTTTTGTAGAATCTGCAAGTGGATATTTGGACCACTTTGTGGCCTTCCTTCGAAACGGGTATATCTTCACATCAAACCTAGACAGAAGCATTCTCAGAATGTTTCCTGTGATGACTGCATTCAACTCACAGAGGTGAACAATCCTGCTGATGGAGCAGTCTTGAAACTCTCTTTCTTTGGATTCTGCAAGTGGATATGTGGACCTCTGTGAAGATTTCGTTGGAAACGGGTTCATCTTCACAGAAAAACTAAACAGGAGCATTCTCAGAAACTGCTTTGTGATGTTTGTGTTCCACTTCAAGAATTGAACTTTCCTCTTGACAGAGCAGCTCTGAAACCCTCTTTTTCTAGAATCTGCAAGTGGACATTTGGAGGGCTTTGAGGCCTGTGGTGGAAAAGGAAAATCTTCACATAAAAACTACATGGAAGCATTCTCAGGAACTACTTTGTGATGATTGCATTCGACTCACAGAGTTGAACATTCCTATAGATAGAGCAGGTTGTAAACAATCTTTTTGTAGAATCTGCGATTGGAGATTTGGACTGCTTTGAGGCCTACTGTAGTAAAGGAAATAACTTCATCTAAAAACCAAATGGAAGCATTCACAGACAATTCTTAGTGATCATTGGATTGAACTAACAGAGCTGAACATTCCTTTAGATGGAGCAGTTTCCAAACCCACTTTCTGTAGAATCTGCAAGTGGATATTTGGACTTCTCTGAGGATTTCGTTGGAAACGGGATAAACTTCTCAGAACTACAGGGAAGCATTGCGAGAAACTTCTTTGTGATGTTTGCATTCAACTCACAGAGTTGAACCTTGCTTTCATAGTTCAGCTTTCAAACACTCTTTTTGTAGAATCTGCAAGTGGATATTTGGACCACTTTGTGGCCTTCCTTCGAAACGGGTATATCTTCACATCAAACCTAGACAGAAGCATTCTCAGAATGTTTCCTGTGATGACTGCATTCAACTCACAGAGGTGAACAATCCTGCTGATGGAGCAGTTTTGAAACTCTCTTTCTTTGGATTCTGCAAGTGGATATGTGGACCTCTGTGAAGATTTCGTTGGAAACGGGTTCATCTTCACAGAAAAACTAAACAGAAGCATTCTCAGAAACTGCTTTGTGATGTTTGTGTTCCACTTCAGGAATTGAACTTTCCTCTTGACAGAGCAGCTCTGAAACCCTCTTATTCTAGAATCTGCAAGTGGACATTTGGAGGGCTTTGAGGCCTGTGGTGGAAAAGGAAAATCTTCACATAAAAACTAGATGGAAGCATTCTCAGAAACTACTTTGTGATGATTGCATTCGACTCACAGAGTTGAACATTCCTATAGATAGAGCAGGTTGTAAACAATCTTTTTGTAGAATCTGCGATTGGAGATTTGGACTGCTTTGAGGCCTACTGTAGTAAAGGAAATAACTTCATCTAAAAACCAAACGGAAGCATTCACAGACAATTCTTAGTGATCATTGGATTGAACTAACAGAGCTGAACATTCCCTTAGATGGCGCAGTTTCCAAACACACTTTCTGTAGAATCTGCAAGTGGATATTTGGACCTCTCTGAGGATTTCGTTGGAAACGGGATAAACTTCCCAGAACTACACGGAAGCATTCTGAGAAACTTCTTTGTGATGTTTGCATTCAACTCACAGAGTTGAACCTTGCTTTCATAGTTCAGCTTTCAAACACTCTTTTTGTAGAATCTGCAAGTGGATATTTGGACCACTTTGTGGCCTTCCTTCGAAACGGGTATATCTTCACATCAAACCTAGACAGAAGCATTCTCAGAATGTTTCCTGTGATGACTGAATTCAACTCACAGGGTTGAACAATCCTGCTGATGGAGCAGTTTTGAAACTCTCTTTCTTTGGATTCTGCAAGTGGATATGTGGACCTCTGTGAAGATTTCGTTGGAAACGGGTTCATCTTCACAGAAAAACTAAACAGGAGCATTCTCAGAAACTGCTTTGTGATGTTTGTGTTCCACTTCAAGAATTGAACTTTCCTCTTGACAGAGCAGCTCTGAAACCCTCTTTTTCTAGAATCTGCAAGTGGACATTTGGAGGGCTTTGAGGCCTGTGGTGGAAAAGGAAAATCTTCACATAAAAACTAGATGGAAGCATTCTCAGAAACTACTTTGTGATGATTGCATTCGACTCACAGAGTTGAACATTCCTATACATAGAGCAGGTTGTAAACAATCTTTTTGTAGAATCTGCGATTGGAGATTTGGACTGCTTTGAGGCCTACTGTAGTAAAGGAAATAACTTCATCTAAAAACCAAACGGAAGCATTCACAGACAATTCTTAGTGATCATTGGATTGAACTAACAGAGCTGAACATTCCTTTAGATGGAGCAGTTTCCAAACACACTTTCTGTAGAATCTGCAAGTGGATATTTGGACTTCTCTGAGGATTTCGTTGGAAACGGGATAAACTTCCCAGAACTACACGGAAGCATTCTGAGAAACTTCTTTGTGATGTTTGCATTCAACTCACAGAGTTGAACCTTGCTTTCATAGTTCAGCTTTCAAACACTCTTTTTGTAGAATCTGCAAGTGGATATTTGGACCACTTTGTGGCCTTCCTTCGAAACGGGTATATCTTCACATCAAACCTAGACAGAAGCATTCTCAGAATGTTTCCTGTGATGACTGCATTCAACTCACAGAGGTGAACAATCCTGTTGATGGAGAAGTTTTGAAACTCTCTTTCTTTGGATTCTGCAAGTGGATATGTGGACCTCTGTGAAGATTTCGTTGGAAATGGGTTCATCTTCACAGAAAAATTAACAGAAGCATTCTCAGAAACTGCTTTGTGATGTTTGTGTTCCACTTCAGGAATTGAACTTTCCTCTTGACAGAGCAGCTCTGCAAACCTCTTATTCTAGAATCTGCAAGTGGACATTTGGAGGGCTTTGAGGCCTGTGGTGGAAAAGGAAAATCTTCACATAAAAACTAGATGGAAGCATTCTCAGAAACTACTTTGTGATGATTGCATTCGACTCACAGAGTTGAACATTCCTATAGATAGAGCAGGTTGTAAACAATCTTTTTGTAGAATCTGCGATTGGAGATTTGGACTGCTTTGAGGCCTACTGTAGTAAAGGAAATAACTTCATCTAAAAACCAAACGGAAGCATTCACAGACAATTCTTAGTGATCATTGGATTGAACTAACAGAGCTGAACATTCCTTTAGATGGCGCAGTTTCCAAACACACTTTCTGTAGAATCTGCAAGTGGATATTTGGACCTCTCTGAGGATTTCGTTGGAAACGGGATAAACTTCCCAGATCTACACGGAAGCATTCTGAGAAACTTCTTTGTGATGTTTGCATTCATCTCACAGAGTTGAACCTTGCTTTCATAGTTCAGCTTTCAAACACTCTTTTTGTAGAATCTGCAAGTGGATATTTGGACCACTTTGTGGCCTTCCTTCGAAACGGGTATATCTTCACATCAAACCTAGACAGAAGCATTCTCAGAATGTTTCCTGTGATGACTGCATTCAACTCACAGAGGTGAACAATCCTGCTGATGGAGCAGTTTTGAAACTCTCTTTCTTTGGATTCTGCAAGTGGATATGTGGACCTCTGTGAAGATTTCGTTGGAAACGGGTTCATCTTCACAGAAAAACTAAACAGAAGCATTCTCAGTAAACTGCTTTGTGATGTTTGTGTTCCACTTCAAGAATTGAACTTTCCTCTTGACAGAGCAGCTCTGAAACCCTCTTTTTCTAGAACCTGCAAGTGGACATTTGGAGGGCTTTGAGGCCTGTGGTGGAAAAGGAAAATCTTCACATAAAAACTAGATGGAAGCATTCTCAGAAACTACTTTGTGATGATTGCATTCGACTCACAGAGTTGAACATTCCTATAGATAGAGCAGGTTGTAAACAATCTTTTTGTAGAATCTGCGATTGGAGATTTGGACTGCTTTGAGGCCTACTGTAGTAAAGGAAATAACTTCATCTAAAAACCAAACGGAAGCATTCACAGACAATTCTTAGTGATCATTGCATTGAACTAACAGAGCTGAACATTGCTTTAGATGGCGCAGTTTCCAAACACACTTTCTGTAGAATCTGCAAGTGGATATTTGGACGTCTCTGAGGATTTCGTTGGAAACGGGATAAACTTCCCAGAACTACACGGAAAGCATTCTGAGAAACTTCTTTGTGATGTTTGCATTCAACTCACAGAGTTGAACCTTGCTTTCATAGTTCAGCTTTCAAACACTCTTTTTGTAGAATCTGCAAGTGGATATTTGGACCACTTTGTGGCCTTCCTTCGAAACGGGTATATCTTCACATCAAACCTAGACAGAGCAGTCTCAGAATGTTTCCTGTGATGACTGCATTCAACTCACAGAGGTGAACAATCCTGTTGATGGAGCAGTTTTGAAACTCTCTTTCTTTGGATTCTGCAAGTGGATATGTGGACCTCTGTGAAGATTTCGTTGGAAACGGGTTCATCTTCACAGAAAAACTAAACAGGAGCATTCTCAGAAACTACTTTGTGATGTTTGTGTTCCACTTCAAGAATTGAACTTTCCTCTTGACAGAGCAGCTCTGAAACCCTCTTTTTCTAGAATCTGCAAGTGGACATTTGGAGGGCTTTGAGGCCTGTGGTGGAAAAGGAAAATCTTCTCATAAAAACTAGATGGAAGCATTCTCAGAAACTAGTTTGTGATGTTTGCATTCGACTCACAGAGTTGAACATTCCTATAGATAGAGCAGGTTGTAAACAATCTTTTTGTAGAATCTGCGATTGGAGATTTGGACTGCTTTGAGGCCTACTGTAGTAAAGGAAATAACTTCATCAAAAAACCAAACGGAAGCATTCACAGAAAATTATTTGTGATCATTGGATTGAACTAAGAGAGCTGATCATTCCTTTAGATGGCGCAGTTTCCAAACACACTTTCTGTGGAATCTGCAAGTGGATATTTGGTCCTCTCTGAGGATTTCGTTGGAAACGGGATAAACTTCCCAGAACTACACGGAAGCATTCTGAGAAACTTCTTTGTGATGTTTGCATTCAACTCACAGAGTTGAACCTTGCTTTCATAGTTCAGCTTTCAAACACTCTTTTTGTAGAATCTGCAAGTGGATATTTGGACCACTTTGTGGCCTTCCTTCGAAACGGGTATATCTTCACATCAAACCTAGACAGAAGCATTCTCAGAATGTTTCCTGTTGATGACTGCATTCAACTCACAGAGGTGAACAATCCTGTTGATGGAGCACTTTTGAAACTCTCTTTCTTTGGATTCTGCAAGTTGATATGTGGACCTCTGTGAAGATTTCGTTGGAAACGGGTTCATCTTCACAGAAAAACTAAACAGAAGCATTCTCAGAAACTGCTTTGTGATGTTTGTGTTCCACTTCAAGAATTGAACTTTCCTCTTGACAGAGCAGCTCTGAAACCCTCTTTTTCTAGAATCTGCAAGTGGACATTTGGAGGGCTTTGAGGCCTGTGGTGGAAAAGGAAAATCTTCCCATAAAAACTAGATGGAAGCATTCTCAGAAACTACTTTGTGATGATTGCATTCGACTCACAGAGTTGAACATTCCTATAGATAGAGCAGGTTGAAAACAATCTTTTTGTAGAATCTGCGATTGGAGATTTGGACTGCTTTGAGGCCTACTGTAGTAAAGGAAATAACTTCATCTAAAAACCAAACAGAAGCATTCACAGACAATTCTTAGTGATCATTGGATTGAACTAACAGAGCTGAACATTCCTTTAGATGGAGCAGTTTCCAAACACACTTTCTGTAGAATCTGCAAGTGGATATTTGGACCTCTCTGAGGATTTCGTTGGAAACGGGATAAACTTCCCAGAACTACATGGAAAAGCTTTGTGAGAAACTTCTTTGTGATGTTTGCATTCAACTCACAGAGTTGAACCTTGCTTTCATAGTTCAGCTTTCAAACACTCTTTTTGTAGAATCTGCAAGTGGATATTTGGACCACTTTGTGGCCTTCCTTTGAAAAGGGTATATCTTCACATCAAACCTAGACAGAAGCATTCTCAGAATGTTTCCTGTGATGACTGCATTCAACTCACAGAGGTGAACAATCCTGCTGATGGAGCAGTTTTGAAACTCTCTTTCTTTGGATTCTGCAAGTGGATATGTGGACCTCTGTGAAGATTTCGTTGGAAACGGGTTCATCTTCACAGAAAAACTAAACAGGAGCATTCTCAGAAACTGCTTTGTGATGTTTGTGTTCCACTTCAGGAATTGAACTTTCCTCTTGACAGAGCAGCTCTAAAACCCTCTTATTCTAGAATCTGCAAGTGGACATTTGGAGGGCTTTGAGGCCTGTGGTGGAAAAGGAAAATCTTCACATAAAAACTAGATGGAAGCATTCTCAGAAACTACTTTGTGATGATTGCATTCGACTAACAGAGTTGAACATTCCTATAGATAGAGTAGGTTGTAAACAATCTTTTTGTAGAATCTGCGATTGGAGATTTGGACTGCTTTGAGGCCTACTGTAGTAAAGGAAATAACTTCATCTAAAAACCAAACGGAAGCATTCACAGACAATTCTTAGTGATCATTGCATTGAACTAACAGAGCTGAACATTCCTTTACATGGAGCAGTTTCCAAACCCACTTTCTGTAGAATCTGCAAGTGGATATTTGGACTTCTCTGAGGATTTCGTTGGAAACGGGATAAACTTCTCAGAACTACACGGAAGCATTGTGAGAAACTTCTTTGTGATGTTTGCATTCAACTCACAGAGTTGAACCTTGCTTTCATAGTTCAGCTTTCAAACACTCTTTTTGTAGAATCTGCAAGTGGATATTTGGACCACTTTGTGGCCTTCCTTCGAAACGGGTATATCTTCACATCAAACCTAGACAGAAGCATTCTCAGAATGTTTCCTGTGATGACTGCATTCAACTCACAGAGGTGAACAATCCTGTTGATGGAGCAGTTTTGAAACTCTCTTTCTTTGGATTCTGCAAGTGGATATGTGGACCTCTGTGAAGATTTCCTTGGAAACGGGTTCATCTTCACAGAAAAACTAAACAGAAGCATTCTCAGAAACTGCTTTGTGATGTTTGTGTTCCACTTCAAGAATTGAACTTTCCTCTTGACAGAGCAGCTCTGAAACCCTGTTTTTCCAGAATCTGCAAGTGGACATTTGGAGGGCTTTGAGGCCTGTGGTGGAAAAGGAAAATCTTCACATAAGAACTAGATGGAATCATTCTCAGAAACTACTTTGTGATGATTGCATTCGACTCAAAGAGTTGAACATTCCTATAGATAGAGCAGGTTGTAAACAATCTTTTTGTAGAATATGCGATTGGAGATTTGGACTGCTTTGAGGCCTACTGTATTAAAGGAAATAACTTCATCTAAAAACCAAACGGAAGCATTCACAGACAATTCTTAGTGATCATTGGATTGAACTAACAGAGCTGAACATTCCTTTAGATGGAGCAGTTTCCAAACACACTTTCTGTAGAATCTGCAAGTGGATATATGGAACTCTCTGAGGATTTCGTTGGAAACGGGATATACTTCCCAGAACTACACCGAAGCATTCTGAGAAACTTCTTTGTGATGTTTGCATTCAACTCACAGAGTTGAACCTTGCTTTCATAGTTCAGCTTTCAAACACTCTTTTTGTAGAATCTGCAAGTGGATATTTGGACCACTTTGTGGCCTTCCTTCGAAACGGGTATATCTTCACATCAAACCTTGACAGAAGCATTCTCGGAATGTTTCCTGTGATGACTGCATTCAACTCACAGAGGTGAACAATCCTGCTGATGGAGCAGTTTTGAAACTCTCTTTCTTTGGATTCTGCAAGTGGATATGTGGACCTCTGTGAAGATTTCATTGGAAACGGGTTCATCTTCACAGAAAAACTAAACAGGAGCATTCTCAGAAACTGCTTTGTGATGTTTGTGTTCCACTTCAGGAATTGAACTTTCCTCTTGACAGAGCAGCTCTAAAACCCTCTTATTCTAGAATCTGCAAGTGGACATTTGGAGGGCTTTGAGGCCTGTGGTGGAAAAGGAAAATCTTCACATAAAAACTAGATGGAAGCATTCTCAGAAACTACTTTGTGATAATTGCATTCGACTCACAGAGTTGAACATTCCTATAGATAGAGCAGGTTGTAAACAATCTTTTTGTAGAATCTGCGATTGGAGATTTGGACTGCTTTGAGGCCTACTGTAGTAAAGGAAATAAATTCATCTAAAAACCAAACGGAAGCATTCACAGACAATTCTTAGTGATCATTGGATTGAACTAACAGAGCTGAACATTCCTTTGGATGGAGCAGTTTCCAAACACACTTTCTGTAGAATCTGCAATTGGATATTTGGACCTCTCTGCGGATTTCGTTGGAAACGGGATAAACTTCCCAGAACTACACGGAAGCATTCTGAGAAACTTCTTTGTGATGTTTGCATTCAACTCACAGAGTTGAACCTTGCTTTCATAGTTCAGCTTTCAAACCCTCTTTTTGTAGAATCTGCAAGTGGATATTTGGACCACTTTGTGGCCTTCCTTCGAAACGGGTATATCTTCACATCAAATCTAGACAGAAGCATTCTCAGAATGTTTCCTGTGATGACTGCATTCAACTCACAGAGGTGAACAATCCTGCTGATGGAGCAGTTTTGAAACTCTCTTTCTTTGGATTCTGCAAGTGGATATGTGGACCTCTGTGAAGATTTCGTTGGAAACGGGTTCATCTTCACAGAAAAACTAAACAGGAGCATTCTCAGAAACTGCTTTGTGATGTTTGTGTTCCACTTCAGGAATTGAACTTTCCTCTTGACAGAGCAGCTCTGAAACCCTCTTTTTCTAGAATCTGCAAGTGGACATTTGGAGGGCTTTGAGGCCTGTGGTGGAAAAGGAAAATCTTCACATAAAAACTAGATGGAAGCATTCTCAGAAACTACTTTGTGATGATTGCATTCGACTCACAGAGTTGAACATTCCTATAGATAGAGCAGGTTGTAAACAATCTTTTTGTAGAATCTGCGATTGGAGATTTGGACTGCTTTGAGGCCTACTGTAGTAAAGGAAATAACTTCATCTAAAAACCAAACGGAAGCATTCACAGACAATTCTTAGTGATCATTGGATTGAAGTAACAGAGCTGAACACTCCTTTAGATGGAGCAGTTTCCAAACACGCTTTCTGTAGAATCTGCAAGTGGATATTTGGACTTCTCTGAGGATTTCGATGGAAACGGGATAAACTTCCCAGAACTACACGGAAACATTCTGAGAAACTTCTTTGTGATGTTTGCATTCAACTCACAGAGTTGAACCCTGCTTTCATAGTTCAGCTTTCAAACACTCTTTTTGTAGAATCTGCAAGTTGATATTTGGACCACTTTGTGGCCTTCCTTGGAAACGGGTATATCTTCACATCAAACCTAGACAGAAGCATTCTCAGAATGTTTCCTGTGATGACTGCATTCAACTCACAGAGGTGAACAATCCTGCTGATGGAGCAGTTTTGAAACTCTCTTTCTTTGGATTCTGCAAGTAGATATGTGGACCTCTGTGAAGATTTCTTTGGAAACGGGTTCATCTTCACAGAAAAACTAAACAGAAGCATTCTCAGAAACTGCTTTGTGATGTTTGTGTTCCACTTCAGGAATTGAACTTTCCTCTTGACAGAGCAGCTCTGAAACCCTCTTATTCTAGAATCTGCAAGTGGACATTTGGAGGGCTTTGAGGCCTGTGGTGGAAAAGGAAAATCTTCACATAAAAACTAGATGGAAGCATTCTCAGAAACTACTTTGTGATGATTGCATTCGACTCACAGAGTTGAACATTCCTATAGGTAGAGCAGGTTGTAAACAATCTTTTTGTAGAATCTGCGATTGGAGATTTGGACTGCTTTGAGGCCTACTGTAGTAAAGGAAATAACTTCATCTAAAAACCAAACGGAAGCATTCACAGACAATTCTTAGTGATCATTGGATTGAACTAACAGAGCTGAACATTCCTTTAGATGGAGCAGTTTCCAAACACACTTTATGTAGAATCTGCAAGTGGATATTTGGACTTCTCTGAGGATTTCGTTGGAAACGGGATAAACTTCTCAGAACTACAGGGAAAGCATTGTGAGAAACTTCTTTGTGATGTTTGCATTCAACTCACAGAGTTGAACCTTGCTTTCATAGTTCAGCTTTCAAACACTCTTTTTGTAGAATCTGCAAGTGGATATTTGGACCACTTTGTAGCCTTCCTTCGAAACGGGTATATCTTCACATCAAACCTAGACAGAAGCATTCTCAGAACGTTTCCTGTGATGACTGCATTCAACTCACAGAGGTGAACAATCCTGCTGATGGAGCAGTTTTGAAACTCTCTTTCTTTGGATTCTGCAAGTGGATATGTGGACCTCTGTGAAGATTTCGTTGGAAACGGGTTCATCTTCACAGAAAAACTAAACAGAAGCATTCTCAGAAACTGCTTTGTTATGTTTGTGTTCCACTTCAGGAATTGAACTTTCCTCTT